>NC_000015.10:21828502-22128502 GCF_000001405.40 Homo sapiens | reverse complement strand
GAAAGAAATTAAAGCAGATGGAAATAAACGGAAAGACTTTCTGTGTTAATGGAATAGAACAATTAATATTGTTAAAATATCCACACTACCTGAAGCAATCTATAGATTCAATACAATCTCTGTGAAAATCCCAACATCATTTTTTAAAGAAATTTTTAAAAATCCTAAAATTCATGTGGAGACACAAAGACTCATGAAGTGACATGGACAGGGGAAAAGGTGGCAAGAAGGTTTTATTTAGGAGGGAATAAATGCGGTTACACGCTAAAGGTTACACCCAATAGGGAGGACAAAGTTCATGTTATAGGTGAGAGAAAGGAGAGTTACCAGAGTAATTGCCTTTAGTAGAGAGGACGGGATGGAATCTGGTGCACAGGTGGAAGGGTTTACTTCTGTAGGAGCAGGATCAGGTCACCCAGTTTCAGGAGAAGTTAAAGGAAACTTAATCACAGATGCAGGTTGTATAGTGGTAGTGATGGGAGATTAAGGAATTCTCACCTGTTACCTTTCTCAGTAAAACAGGAAGCAACACAATAAACAGAGTGATAATAGAGGAGGATTATTTGAAGATTCAGACCACTTTTTCTATAGTCTGAATATTTTTACCATGTACAAAATTTATATTCCTAAGTATAAACTTTGGTTTTTATCAAAAATAAAATATTTTAAAACTCAATTTTTGACCCCCTTGCATTTGGGGTTCCAGATGTTTTGGATGCTGCCCATTTAATGTACTCATTTGAGATTTGAATATGTAGTAAGCTAGTTAAAGGGAGGCAGTAGGATAGGCTTCTGTTATACTAGGGGCGATTTGTTAGGTCCAAAGTGATTCCGGATCATCAACTTGATCCCAGGCACATGGCTAAAATTGTAGTGTTTTTCAGACAACAGATGGCTAAGATTGTAGCAAGAACAACTTCCCTGACAACATAGGTCACCTGTGTTAGTCTGTAAGTCATCTCTGGGTGTCCAGCCTATAGTCTGCTGTTCTAGACTTTGCAGTGATTTTGTGAACACCTCTCTTGATATTAAATGATGTTTTGTTTAAAATAGCTGGAATGGTTTCTTCTCTCTGACACAAAATCCTGATTGGTCTATGAAAAGACTGTCATTATTAAACTTACAGTGAAATCAATTGGCAATAAGGTCAAACATACAGCTAAAAGTCATAAAAATTTGCTAGGATTAATAATGAAGCTGCAGAAAAAAAAAGTAAAATTTTTTTTGATCTTTTTCAGTAAAAGTAACCAGCTTTCTTTTGCCACTCTCTGCTTACGTATGTAAGAAAAATTGGTAGTTTAATATCTTTCAAAGTGCACTTACAAATATAATATTTTCCTCTTAATGATATTTTTCAACTCTTTGATATCTGCATAGAATCTTGAGTTTACAGCCCTAAGTCATTTATGACCCTTCAGTAGAGGAATCACTCTTTTGCTTAAAGCCACAGAATGGCTTCTTATTGTAATTGTAATAAAATGAAAACTCACATTTACTATGTAGACCATATGTTTTTGACACTACCAGTATCTCTAACTTTAAGTTTAATCATTTTCACATTAAATTACTATATTCTTGGTAACATGGACTTTATTGTATTCTTCAAATATACCAAGTTCATCATCATCTTTGAGTTTTTGCACTGCCTGTGCCCTCTGTCTACCATACTATAGCCACAAAAGTTTGCATGTTTGGCTTCTTCAGTTTATCCAGATATGATCCAAAATGTCAGCTCTTCAAGGCCTTTTTTTATTATTAAACACAAATTGGTTACTCCCAATCCAGAGTCACAGTTTATCATTTCACTTTTCGTTTTAGTTTTTACAGAGCAGTATCTCTTCCTGAAACTATGCTGTTTATTTTCTACCTTAACGGCGGTCTATTTTTACTAGGTTGTATCTCTTGGAGAGCAGATAGACCTTATCTGCCTCAATACTTTCTTTCTTCAGTTCCTAGAATAGTCCTGACAAATGGGAGGTATTCAATGATTGCAGTACTTGGAAATAAACAAATCAATTTCAGATAAAATTCTACAGTCTATTTTTATTCTTTTTTTTTTTGCCCTTTTTCAGGCTATGTGTTTATTAAACACCTTTTTCATGGAAGCTTTCACTTCCTGGTTATGAAGGGTATAAATGACAGGATTCAACAAAGGAAGAATCACTGTGTGGAAGAGAGAAACCACCTTGTCGGCTGGGAAAGCCCTGAAGGGGCACGTGTAGATGAAGATGCCAGGTCCAAACATGAAGAATATAACAATGATATGGGTGGTGCATGTGGACATGGCCTTGTTTTTTGCCTCAGAAGAAGACGCTCGTATGCGACAAAGAATGACTGCATAGGAGGCCAGAAGTCCCAGAAAGCACATGAGTGTCATCAGGCCACTATTGAAGACCATCAGAAGCTCCACCACAAACATGTCGGTGCAAGCCAGCTTGATGACCTGTCGGACATCACAGAAGAAGTTGTCCAGCTGGTTTGGGCCACAAAAAGGCAAGCGGATGATGAGGACCACCTGGATAATGGAGTGGACAAAACCCCCAAGCCACAGAGCCAACATCATTGCATAGCAGGCTCTAGAGTTCATGACAGTTGAATACTGCAGAGGCAGGCAGATGGTGATGTAGCGGTCAAAGGCCATCACAACAAGGAGTAATCCCTCCCCTCCTCCAAGGAAGTGCAAGAAAAAGAGCTGAGTGATGCAGCCTCTGTAGGAGATTACCTTCTTCTCAGAGAGGAAGTCCACCAACATCTTGGGAGCCACAATGAAGGAGTAGGATGCATCCAGGAAGGCCAAGTTGCCCAGAAATAAATAGAGGGGGGCTGTGAGCCCAGGGTCTGACCTTATGGTGAAAATAATGAGAAAATTTCCAGGGAGGATGAAGAAGTAGAATATTAAAACTAGCACAAAGACCAGGAGCTAAATATCTCGAAACTGGGTCAAACGAAGGAGGATGAATTCTCTTATCACTGTTCTGTTCTCGCTTTCCATTTCCCTGGCCTGCAGTACATTAAGAAGCAGAATTAATTGTTATTGCTATGTCTTCCAACTAGATACTAGTTCTACAGCTAAAAAATATTTGGCACATATAGTACTTCAGCTAAAAACAACACTTCCCATCCCTCTCCTATTCTGGGGAAACTCCGTTACCTTAATTTCTCCAAATTTAAAATGAAAAATGAAAACAAAATATGGTTCTCAAAGCTACAGGTTTATTCCCATTCAACCATGTGCTTCTACAGAATCATTTTCCATGTTAGGAGTCTGGTATCCTCCACGTTGGGATTCCTACATTCCTAAATCATGTAAGTTTCCTAATGGAGACACAACCTAACTTCAAATCTGAAGGTCTTTGAGTTTTTTGGATATACTATGCTTGAGGGTTAGTTCTTTTCTTGGGATTAGACCCTTTTTCTCCTTGTCCACACCACCCCCAAATTTTCCTAGACATTTTCTTCCCTCAGTTCCTGTGTAATTCCCAGTTCCTAGCTGGTAACTCTCTTCCTTGCCCTCTGTCTTATCATCTAATTTACTTCTTATTATACTCCTTTTGGTCTGATATCCTTGAATACTCTTTTCCCAGACTGTTCACGAGAATCCCAAGCTATAGCTCCACTTTTGACCTAACACAGGCACAGTGCTCCAGCTGTAACTCTGTTTGAACACCACTCCTGTGGCCACTCCACACCTGCATGCAGCTTATTTAGCACTTTTTGAGTTTCAAATACTAATAAACTCACAACACATTTCTTTCTCTGTTCCAAGTATGACACCCAAGATACAGCCCTTTAACAAAAAATATGCTACAATATAAAATTTGCAAGTATAAAACTTTAAAATATCATTATCTCAACTCATAAGATCATAGCATAGATACACTGTAAGTAGCCATAAAGATACTGTAGTGTTATTCTTCCATTTCAAAGATGAGAAATAACCTGTAGTTATATTACTTAAGTTTAGAGTGAGTTTTATTTTTTGCTCTGCTTGATAAGTAGTAGGATAATGCAAGTGTATACTATTCAGTTTAAATAGATAAAGAATTTTTTAATCACAGCTTCAATGAATGAATGTTCTTTTTGTGCATCTGAATAACTAAAGATAATATTGCTAGTCTAAAATCACTCCCGTATTGCTTTGATTTGTAAGTTCAACCTTGTTTAAATAAAAAGAAAAACAATGTCCATTGTGAAGAAAATTCATATTTAAAATTCAGATTGTTTTCATGGGGTATACTCATTCCAGAAGGTGCACATGATAATCCACTGAAGTATAGAAAGAACATAGTAATTTATCTATATTTAGTCAGTGTATAACATTTTATATGTATCACTACATTTCATTCTTTTCTAAATTCACTTTTTAATATTTATAATGGATAACATAGTACAATGGTTTATATATACTTTATAAATAAATATGCATACATTTAAGGTTACATATTCAAAAAATGTCTTAGGGGAGTAAATTTTTTAAGTTTGAAAATTGTTGGCCTACAACAAAATACAAACTGTAATATAAAAGGATATTCTTAATATGATTTAACTAAACAGTGTATTTGTTTTAAATAAGTGCTCTAGCGGCCGGGCGTGGTGGCTTATGCCTGTAATCCCAGCACTTTGGGAGGCCAAGGCGGGTGGATCACGAGGTCAGGAGATCGAGACCATCTTGGCTAACATGGTGAAACCCCGTCTCTACTAAAAAAATACAAAAAAAATTAGCCGTAGTGGTGGTGGTTGCCTGTAGTCCCAGCTACTCAGGAGGCTGAGGCAGGAGAATGGTGTGAACCCAGGAGGCAGAGCTTTCAGTGAGCCGAGATCATGCCACTGCACTCCAGCCTGGGTGACAGAGCGAGACTCTGTCTCAAAATAAATAAATAAATAAATAAATAAATAAATAAATAAATAAGTGCTCTAGCACATGGGGTACGGAAGGAAGGGAAAATCTTTGACAGAAAATGCTACTGCAACAGTACCTAGAAAAGAAAGACAAGAAGATAGAGGATGAGGGAAGAAAGAAGAGAGAAATAGAAAATCAGGCAAACAAACACCAAACAAGCAAACAAACAAGCAAACAAACACCAAAAGACAGACAGCACATCTATATAGTGTCATCTTAGGGTACATATTTTAAGAAGCATTAAAACTATCTGCTTTATGTATCCCTAGAGTGGAATAGAGTGGTTAATACAGAAATTTCTGGGTGTTACTGGCAGCCACATGTGGAATTTATGAAAGTCATATTTTAACACATCATCATATATACATATGCAAATACCACATGAACACACACGTATGCACACACATACAAACACATGCAAAATTGTAATAGGAAAAAATATTTTGTAGATCCTTCAAATGAGCTTTTCTGCTCATGTCTTAACCTTTTCCCCCTTTGCCAGCCATTTGTCTCAACATTTATTCTACTATCTGCCTATATAAATATTTCCTTAAATCAAGAGCCCCTTCTACAGTTGACAATTGAACAATGCAGGAGTTAAGGGGGCAGATCCCCTGTGCAATAAAAAATTAGCACATACCCTGACTCCCTAAAAACTTAGCTTCTAATGATTACTGTTGATCAGAAGCTTTGCTGGTAACATAAACAGTTGAATAACAAATATTTTTGTTTTATGTATTATATACTATATTCCTACAATAAATTAAGCTACAGAAAATAAAATATAACAAAATCATAAGGAAAGGAAGATATAAATACTGTTCATTAAGTGGAAGCAAATCATCATAAAGTTCTTATCGTTGTCGTCTTCCCACTGAGTAGGCTGAGGAGAAGGAAAAGGAAGGGTTCGTTTTGCTGTCTCAGGGGTGGCAGAGGTGGAAGAAAATCCACATATAAGTGGACACGTGTGGTTCAAACCCATGTTTTTCTGGAGTCAACTGTACTTACTTATATGTTTTATGCATCCCACATGCTAACATAGAGTGAGGTATTTCTTGATGTGTTAGCATTTAACAATATCCCTGAGACATTTGAGGATTTCTGAAGGACTTTGAAATTGAAGGTTATAAGCTCTTCCATTCTGCCTGTGTCCCAGCCTCACTGTTATTTTTCCACTGTTTCTTAACAGATGGGATTCTGTACTACTTGACATCTTGATCAACTTTCTTCCCTGTCCCATTTCCATCTTTGAATTATCTCTACCTTCTCTAAATTGTGGTTGGAATAGACGCAGAGACTAATCAGATGAGCGTTCCTCTAAGCAAAATAAAATAAGTTTCTACCAAAAAAAAAAAATCCATAAATGATGACGTCATCAGAGTAAAGTGTTCTATTTTAGCCAAATTAGTAGAGAAAGTTCTGTCAAAACTCTGTACCATACCCTCCTCACTGTATCTCTAATCGTTCTTGCCATTTCAGCTAATTCGTGGATTGATCAGTTTCTGGCCATGATGACACACTGCAGAAATAGGGAAGATGAAGGAGAAGGGTTCACCACATTTGCAAGGTGGAGACACAGAAACATCTCCAGGCAACTCTGTGTGTGCATGCCTGGAGTCTGAGTGTGGTCAGATGGGCTGCTGGAGCCAAGTGTTTAGAGATCTTATGTGCTTACTCCGCCTCCTTCCTTATTTTTCTTTTTCTCTCTTTCTTTATTCATCAATAAGCAGTTCATTTTCTTTTTTTTTCTGGTTGTGACTTCTTTTCCCTGTTAATTTGTTGCCTGTTCTTTTCCCCTTCTCTGTTTCTTTCTGGCTCTATTTATTTTGTTCTCTTTAAATATTGTTCTTTATTTTTTTTTCTTTCTTCTCCCTTACATTTATCTATGTTTTTTCACTCTGATATGTTTTCACTCTCTCCACTTTTTGTCTATGTTCATGGCTACTCCATTCTACCCACACCTGTCTTGCTAATGCATCTAAAAACAAAACGAAACAAGAAACAGAAAATCTCGTTGTCATTTGCTTTTCCAACAAGACTGAGAAATGTGTGTGCTTCCCACCATCTTCCATTTTAAATGTTAAGTCTACAAAATGAAAATGTATAATTCACTCTTCAGTAATAACCATTTACTTTTAAGTGGTATTCTTGCAATTGGCCAACGCTGAGTCATTTATCAACTACTTCATATATATGTAGTGAACCTGATAAAAATGAGATGATTCACCTTTTTTTAAAAAAAAAGTTAATTTCATTAGTAGCATCCTAATGAAATAAATATATTGAATGTAAATTTCAAAAATAGAGATGTAATATTAGTAGTAATAATTTACTAACTACACAAGGTTAGTAAATTATTTGAGTATGAAATAAGTTTTATATTTTCTAAAAAGTGTGAATCAGGCTGAGAACATAATAGAAAATTTAATTTATACTGATGCTGATGCTGAGTATATAAAGCACTAAACAAATGTATAGATTCTTAGCCAGAAAATTTATTCATCAATCAAATGAGATGGCCAGATTAAATGCCCTCTAAATTCCATTTGAATGCCAGTTTTTTAGGCAATGTAATAACATAAAAGGATCCCTGGTTTGGGAATCATTTATCTGACTCTCATGCCTTGACTGAGCAATTAACTTACTGTGTGATTCTGGCAAAGTCACTTAGCTTTCAGAAGCCTGAGTTTTCATCTACCAAATAGTTTAATGTATTGACTCTTTGGGTCTGATGGGGGTAACATGAGGATCAAATGAGGTGATGATGGTATTAATATGTAATTCATTCAAGTATGCTTCAACCAAAGTTAATCCTGAAAATATTTAGATGTTAAAAGTAGTTATATTGAATGGACAGAATGCTGCTAGATCTTTTGTCAATGTCTTTGAGTAACCCCTGGGATAATGGTAGTTGCATAAATCTGAATGGTTAATAGAAAGAAGCTGTGGAGGGTCAGTAATGCCTTCATGTAAAATTGCCAATACAGCTAGTAGTTTGTATATCAAGCTTTTTTTCAGTTCTACAGCTTTCTGTCAAAATTCTATGAATAAATGATAGAACCATATGTAACAGAAGAAACTTTCATACCTGCTGAATGTGAAAATGAAGAGGTCAAGGACTTACCTTCCGCAAAATCATAAAATCTGTTAAGTTTTTCTCTGGAGCTTTTAGCCAACCATTTCTGCATCCTCCTCCCCTTTCTTCCATATTTAATAAGGAAAATGATACATATCAGTCATTTGTATGATTTTTTGTTTTTTAACACCAGATGTCAATTCTCTTGAGTCTATGGAAAATTATAATAGAATTAAAGGTTTAGTTCACCAGTAAAGTAATCCCAAGCATTAAATGCAGATGGAGATCTATTAGGAGAGAGAATACACAGTGCCCCACTGCTGAATTTAGACCTTAGCCTGTGGCTATTCCTGCTAATACTCTGACCTGTCTATTCAACTGCAATCTAAGATATCAGGTGAACAAGTAAAATAGTTGCAATATTTTTTCTATTGTCTCTTTCTTCTTGTTTCTTGTATATATATGAAGAGCTCCAGAAATTTAAGCCTTCAGGGATCTTATGTTACTCTCACAAAGTAGCCATCCTCCCTCTCCTAGTAAGACTAACCAATTTTGCCATTGTTCATAAATGTTCATTGCCACATGAGGAACCTTAGATTTTAAAATCTCTCTATTGTAATGGAGAAAGTGCTTTTGAGATTTGAGACTACCGTGACCCACTGAATGCTTCCAAAGGGAGTTATTAGGCAAACTATATTAGTTATCAACTAAATAAGGCAAAGAAAAATACCAGAGCTTTGCAAGAATTAATTTTTTTTAAATGTGCTACATAATGCCAAGCTGACTTCCTTTCTAGTTCTAAAACAAAAATTCTACTGTGAAAAAGACAGAACCCTATTCAGAAGCATACTTTTTAGTCCAGAAGTAAATAGAAGTTTGAGAGAAGTAAATTTACATGTTATAATAAAATTCAAAAGGAGAAAAATATTAAATAAATGATGAGAGATTATTGCTTTGTACCACAAAAGCAAGCAGGGGTAGGATGAGGCAAAAATTACATATATACATATATATATATATATATATATATATATATATATATATATATATGTGACTAGACTCAAATTTTTCAATTAAAGGCTTCACCAAACTTTAGAGGGTGGCTGGCAAGATGGCCAGATAAGAGCAAGTCCAGTCTGCAGCTCCCAGCAAGACCAATGCAGAAGGTGGGTGATTTCTGCATTTCCAACTGAGGTACCCGGCTCATCTCATTGGGACTGGTTAGACAGTGGGTTCAGCCTACGGAGGATGAGCCAAAGCAGGGTGGGGCATCACCTCACCCGGGAAGTGGAAGGGTTCAGGGAACTCCCTCCCCGGCCAAGGGAAGCCATGAGAGACTGTGCCAAGAGGAATGGTGGATTCTGATCCACATACTAGGCTTTTCCCATGGTTTTTGCAACCTGCAGACCAGGAGATTCCCTTGGGTGCCTACACCACCAGGGCCCTGGGTTTCAAGCACAAAACTAGGCAGCCATTTGGGCAGACACTGAGGTAGAAGCAGGAGTTTTTTTCATACCCCAGTGGCACCCGGAATGCCAGCAAGATAGAACGATTCACTCCCCTGGAAATGGGGCTGAAGCCAGGGAGTCAAGTGGTCTATCTCAGTGGATCCCACCCCCATGGAGCCCAGCAAGCTAAGATCCACTGGCTTGAAATTCTTGCTGCCAGCACAGCACTCTGAAGTTGACCTGGGACACTCGAGCTTGGTTGGGGTAGGGGCATCCGCCATTACTGAGGCTTGAGTAGGCACTTTTCTCTTCACAGTGTAAATAAAACCACCAGGAAGTTTGAACTGGGCAGAGCCCACTGCAACCCAGCAAAGCAGCTATAGCCAGACTGCTTCTCTAGATTTCTCCTCTCTGGGCAGGGTATCTCTGAAAGAAAGGCAGCGTCCCCAGTCAGGGGCTTATAGATAAAAATCCCATCTCCCTGGGACAGAGCACCTGGGGGGAAGGGCGGCTGTGGGCACAGCTTCAGCAGACTTAAATGTTCCTGCCTGCCATCTCTGAAGGGAGCAGCAGATCTCCCAGCAAAGCGCTTGAACTCTGCTAAGGGACAGACTGCCTCCTCAAGTGGCTCCCTGATGCCTGTGCCTCCTGACTGGGAGACACCTCCTAGCAGGAGTTGACAGACACCTCATACGGGAGATCTCCAGCTGGCATCTGGCTGGTGCCCCTCTGGGACAAAGCTTCCAGAAGAAGGAACAGGCAGTAGTCTTTGCTGTTCTGCAGCATCTGCGATGACACCCAGGTAAACAGGGTCTGGAGTGGACCCGCAGCAAACTCCAGCAGACCTGCAGCAGAAGGGCCTGACTGTTAGAAGGAAAACTAACAAACAGAAAGAAATAGCATCAACATCAACAAAAAGGATGTCCACCCAAAAACACCAACTGAAGGTCACCAACATCAAAGAACAAAGTTAGATAGGTCCAAGAAGATGAGGAAAAACCAGAGCAAAAAGGCTGAAAATTCCAAAAACCAGAACACCTCTTCTCCTCCAAAGTATCACAACTCCTTGCCAGCAAGGGAGCAAAACTGGATGGAGAATGAGTTTGACAAGTTGACAGAAGTAGGCTTCCAAAGATGGGTAGTAACAAACTCCTCTGAGCTAAAGGAGCATGTTCTAACCCAAAACAAGGAAGCTAAGAACCTTGAAAAAGGTTAGAGGAATTGATAACTAAAATAACCACCTTAGAAAAGAACATAAATAACCTGATGGAGCTGAGAAACACAGCACGAGAACTTCATGAAGCATACACAAGTATCAATAGCCAAATCAATTGAGTGGATGAAAGGATACCAGGGATTGAAGATCAACTTAATGAAATAAAGCGTGAAGACAAGATTGGAGAAAAAAGATTGAAAAGGAATGAACAAATCCTCCAAGAAATATGGGACTATGTGAAAAGACCAAACCTACGTTTGATTGGTGTACCTGAAAGTGACGGGGAGAATGGAACCAAGTTGGAAAACACTCTTCAGGATATTATCCAGGAGAACTTTCCCAACCTAGCAAGACAGGCCAGCATTCAAATTCAGGAAATACAGAGAACACCACAAAGATACTCCTCGAGAAGAGCAACCCCAAGAAACATAATTGTCAGATTCACCAAGGTTGAAATGAAGGAAAAAATGTTAAGGTCAGCCAGGAAGAAAGGTCAAGTAGTTACCCACAAAGGGAAGTCCATCAGACTAACAGTGGATCTCTCTGCAGAAACCCTACAAGCCAGAAAGAAGTGGGGGCCAATATTCAACGTTCTTAAAGAAAAGAATTTTCAAACCAGAATTTAATATCCAGCCAAACAAAGTTTCATAGATGAAGGAGAAATAAAATCCTTTACAGATAAGAAAATACTAACAGATTTTTGTCACCACCAGGCCTGCCTTACAAGACCTCCAGAAGGAAGCACCAAATATGGAAAGAAAAACTGGTACCAGCCACTGCAAAAACATACCAAATTGTAAAGACTATTGAAGCTATGAAAAAACTGCATCAACTAACAGGCAAAATAACCAGATAACATCATAATGACAGGATCAAATTCACACATAACAATGTTAACCTTAAATGTAAATGGGTTAAGTCCCCAGTTAGAATACACAGACTGGTAAATTGGATAGAGACTCAAGACCCATTGGTGTGCTGTATTCAGGAGACCCATCTCACGTGCAAAGACACACATAGGCTCAAAATGAAGGGATGGAGGAAGATTTACCAAGCATATTGAAAGCCAAAAAAAAGCAGGGGTTGCAATCCTAGTCTCTGATAAAACAGACTTTAAACCAACAAAGATCAAAAAAGACAAAAAAGGGCATTACATAATGGTAAACGGATCAATGCAACAAGAAAAGCTAACTATCCCAAATATGTATGCACCTAATACAGGAGCACCCATATTCATAAAGCAAGTCCTTAGAGATATACAAAGAGACTTACATTCCCACACAATAATAGTGGGAGACTTTAACACCCCACTGTCAATATTAGACAGATCAAGAGACAGAAAATTAACAAGGACATTCAGGACTTGAACTCAGCTCTGGACCAAGCAGAACTAATAGACATCTACAAAACTCTCCACCCCAAATCAACAGAATATACATTCTTTTCAGCACCACATCACACTTATTATAAAATTGACCACATAATTGGAAGTAAAACACTCCTCAGCAAATGCAAAAGAACAGAAATCATAACAAATAGTCTCTCAGATCACAGTGCAATCAAATTAGAACTCAGGATTAAGAAACTCACTCAAAACTGCACAACTGCATGGAAACTGAACAACCTGCTCCTGAATGACTACTGGGTAAATAACGAAATTTAGGCAGAAATAAATAAGTTCTTTGAAACCAATGAGAACAAAGACACAATGTACGAGAATCTCTGGGACACAGCTAATGCAGTGTTTACAGGAAAATTTATAGCACTAAATGCCAACAGCTTAAAGCAGGAAAGATCTAAAATCAACACCCTAACATTACAATTAAAAGAACTAGAGAAGTAAGAGCAGACAAATTCAAAAGCTAGCAGAAGACAAGAAATAACTAAGATCAGAGCAGAACTGAAGGAGATAGAGACACAAAAAACCCTTCAAAAAATCAATGCATCCAGGAGCTGGTTTTTTGAAAACATTAACAAAATAAATAGACCACTAACCAGACTAATGAAGAAAAGAAAGAAGAATCAAATAGACACAATAGAAAATGATAAAGGGGTATCACCACTGATCCCATAGAAATACAAACTACCATCAGAGAATACTACAAACACCTCTACACAAATAAACTAGAAAATCTACAAGAAATGGATAAATTCCTGGGCACATACACCCTCCCAAGACTGAACCAGGAAGAAGTCAAATCCCTGAATAGACAAATAACAAGTTCTGAAATCGAGGCAGTAATTAATAGCCTACCAACCAAAAAAAAGTCCAGGACCAGACAGATTCACAGCCAAATTCTACCAGAGGTACAAAGAGGAGCTGGTACCATTCCTTCAGAAACTATTACAAACAATAGAAAAAGAGGGACTCCTCCCTAACTCATTTTATGAGGCCAGCATCATCCTGATACCAAAACCTGGCAGAGACACACATAAAAAAGAAAATTTCAGGCCAATATCCCTGATGAACATCAATGCAAAAATCCTCAATAAAATACTGGCAAACCGAATCCAGCAGCACATCAAAAAGCTTATCCACCATGATCAAGTTGGCTTCATCCCTGGAATGCAAGGCTGGTTCAACATACCCAATCAGTAAACATAATCCATCACATAAACAGAACCAATGACAAACATCACATGATTATCTCAATAGATGCAGAAAAGGCCTTCGGTAAAATTCACCCCTTCATGCTAAAAACTCTAAATAAACTAGGTATTGATGGAACGTATCTGAAAATAATAAGAGCTATTTATGACACACCCACAGCCAATATCATACCGAATGGGCAAAAGCTGGAAGCATTCTCTTTGAAAACCAGCACAAGACAAGGATGCCTTTTCTCACCATTCTTATTCAACACAGCATTGGAAGTTCTGGCCAGGGCAATCAGGGAAGAGAAAGAAATAAAGCGTATTCAAATAGGAAGAGAGGGAGGTAAATTGTCAAAGTTTGCAGATGACATGATTGTATATTTAGAAAACCCCATCATCTTAGCCCAAAATCTCCTTAAGCTCATAAGCAACTTCAGCAAAGTCTCAGGATACAAAATCAATGTGCAAAAATTACAAACATTCCTATATACCATTAATAGATAAACAGCCAAATCATGAGTGAACTCCCATTCACAACTGCTACAAAGAGAATGAAATACCTAGGAATACAACTAACAAGGGATATGAAGGACCTCTTCAAGGAGAATTACAAACCACTGCTCAAGGAAAAAGAGAGGACACAAATGGAAAAACGTTCTGTGCTCATGGATAGGAAGAATCAATATCATGAAAATGGCCATACTGCCCAAAGTAATTTACAGATTCAATGCTATCCCCATCAAGCTACCATTGATTTTCTTCACAGAATTAGAAAAAACAACTTTAAATTTCATACAGAACCAAAAAAGAGCCTGTATAGCCAAGACAATCCTAAGCAAAAAGAAAGAGGCATCACACTACCTGACTTCGAACTATACTACAAGGCCGCAGTAACCAAAACAGCATGGTACTGGTACCAAAACAGATATATAGACCAATGGAACAGAAAAGAGGCCTTAGAAATAATGCCACACATCTACAACCATCTGGTCTTTAACAAGCCTGACAAAAGCAAGCAATGGGAAAAGGATTCCCTATTTAATAAATGGTGTTGTGAAAACTGGCTAGACATATGCAGAAAACTGAAACTGAACCCCTTCCTTACACCTTATACAAAATTAACTCAAGATGGATTAAAGGAGTAAATGGAAAACCTAAAACCATAAAAACCCTAGAAGAAAACCTAGGCAATACCATTCAGGACATAGGCATGGGCAAAGACTTCATGACTAAAACACCAAAACCAATGGCAACAAAAGCCAAAATTGACAAATGAGATCTAATTAAACTAAAGAGCTTCTGCACAGCAAAAAAACAAACAAACAAACAAAAAAAAAAACCTCTCATCAGAGTGGACAGTCAACCTACAGAATGAGAGGAAATTTTTGCAATCTATCCAGCTGACAAAGGGCTAATATCTAGCATCTACAGGGAACTTAAACAAATTTACAAGAAAAAAAACAACCCTATCAAAAAGTGAACAAAGGATATGAACAGACACTTCTCAAAAGAAGACATTTATGCAGCCAACAAACATATGAAAAAAAAGCTCATCATCACTGGTCATTAGAGAAATGCAAATCAAAACCACAATGAGATACCATCTCATGCCAGTTAGAATGGTGATCATTAAAAGGTCAGGAAACAGCAGATGCTGGAGAGGATGTGGAGAAATAGGAACCCTTTTACACTGTTGGTGGGAGGGTAAATTAGTTCAACCATTGTAGAAGACAGTGTAGCGATTCCTCAAGGATGTAGAACCAGAAATACCATTTGACCCAGCAATCCCATTACTGGGTATATACCCAAAGAATTATATATCATTCTACTATAAAGACACATGCACATGTATGTTTACTGTGGCACTGTTCACAATAGCAAAGACTTTGAACCAACCCAAATGCCCATCAATCATAGACTGGATAAAGAAAATGGGTCACATATACTTTATGGAATACTATGCAGCCATAAAAAAGGATGAGTTCATGTCATTTGCAGGGATATGGATGAAGCTAGAAACCATCATTCTCAGCAAACTAACACAGGAACAGAAAACCAAACACCACATGTTCTTACTCTTAAGTGGGAGTTGAACAGTGAGAACACAGGGACACAGGGAGGGGAATATCCCACACGGGGGCCTGTCACAGGGTGGGGGGCTAGGGGAAGGATAGCATTAGGAGAAATACCTAATGTAGGTGACAGGTTGATGGGTGCAGCAAACCACCATGGCACATATTTACCTATGTAACAAACCTGCATATTCTACGCATGTATCCCAGAACTTAAAGTATAATTTTTAAAAAAGACTTCACCAATATTATTTATTTTTCCTGTTGCCTCAGGTTCCAACATGGCTCAACATGGCAGTTGCTGATCCTGCCTTTGCTTAAAATTTGGTACTTTATCACAAATTTTAAAATTAATTTTGATTTCTCAAAATATTGATTTAAATGTTTATCTCTACTATTGAGTTTTTGGGCACGCCTTTAAATTTTGCATGCAAGATAAGCACCTTACTCAGTTGTAGGATGTTGACGGTGATAAGGACATTAGCAAAGGAAATATTGAAAAGCTCATGAATACTGCTGCATAATTCTTCTTAGAGAAAATAGTTTCTTAGTATAGGATAGAACAATTGCTAAAGGGAAGGTGATCTCCTACATAGCATGAAAAGATGTGTCATGATCTTGGTATTTGTAATTTGTTCCCTTTCACTCTGCTCAACTAAAACAAGGATGAAAAACATTTTTCCATTAAAGATTATTAATTTTAAAAATTATTTGAGTCAGAAAAAATAAATGCAAATTAATTTTATTAATTTTATTTAAAAATTAGTTTAATCTTTTGCTTTAAAGAAAACACTGAGTTTATGGGTCACTTTACAAGTGAAATAAGAACACAGATTTGGGGGTAATAAACATAATTTATCACCAAATACATTTGTTTTAATTTATTTCACAGTTCAAAAACAAAGTGTAAGAGTAGAAAAAGGAAAGAAAGAAGAAAGGAGAGAGAGAGAAGTACAGAAAAAGTTACAATAATCAAAATAAAAATCAAGAGAAAAGGGAAAAGAAAGACTAGCAGAGACATAAATGGAAAGATAGTCGTATGACTTAAAAACAAATGGTGAAGAGACAGAGAGATACTAGTCCATGAGGAGAGCAAGACCATCCAGAGGCAAAACTCCTTATCCAAGGAATTCAGAAGTAATTAGACATCCCTATTATGTAAAGCTGGCATCTGGTATGAGATTTCTTTTCCAAAAATTTGTGAGTAACCAGAATTTCTATGCATCTCTGGAATGCATGTATTCTAAACTCATTGTGCAATCCCTGCTGACATCAAGGCACCAAAATGTCTATAAATGTAATTGTTTACCATGACCTATGTGGCTAATATGGTAAAAATTACCCTTAAGCTCCCACTTTAAGGTCCATAAATACCCTAAGGAAAAATCTACTGCAGTGGCGTCCTCAGTCCTCTCTTGCTGAGGAGCCCTGCTGCACTCCTCTGCAGCGTTCTTTCCATCTAATACAACTTTCCTTTTCAAATCTATACAGTTGTTGGTAAATTCTTCTTACTACCCACAAGCCAACCACACTCCACTGCCTGGGCTGTGACAGCTCGCATGGCAGTCCATATAAATGCACAGTCTACAAATCCATATAACCATAAAAAGAAAACAATGATAAAGAGAGCTGCACAGAGGAAAATAGAGAAAGGAAGCAAAATGAATGAGGTTAGATACGTTCTTAAGTGGAATAACAACCCCATCTTGGAGTAGGTTAGTCTTGCCACCAAAACTTTTAAAAACATGATTTTTTTTCATAATTGTGCATATAATCCAGGATCTTACTCACCTCTTAATGTTCACTCTAATAGATAAGATAAAATTAATCTGAAGATCTAAAATAGTCCTCAAAATGGAGACTTTTTAATCCTTCTAGGAAAGTTTTATCACCTTGGATAGATTTTCTCTTCTAGATAATCTTGAATTAATTTTACAATGAAAAGTATTACTGGTATTTTATTAAATTGTATTCTATTTATGCATTGACATGTATATATTCAATATTATTTTTAACCAACAAGAGTTTGTCTCTGAATTTATTCATTTTTTTCTCAAAAAAATGACCACTTTTTATATGAAAAGATACTTCCCAAAAGAAAACATGTATACGGCCAATAAGCATATGAAAAAAAAAATGCTCAGCTTGACTATGCATTAGAGAAATGCAAATCAAAACCACAATGAGATACCATCTCACACCAGTCAGAAGGACTATTATTAAAAAGTCAAAGAATGGCTGGGCACGGTGGCTCACGCCTATAATCCCAGCACTTTGGGAGGCCGAGGTGGGCAGATCACGAGGTCAGGAGATCGAGACCATTCTGGCTAACACGGTGAAACCCCGTCTGTAATAAAAAATACAAAAAAAAAAAATTACCTGGGCGTGGTGGCGGGCGCCTGTAGTCCCAGCTACTCAGGAGGCTGAGGCAGGAGAATGGCGTGAACCTGGGAGGCGCAGCTTGCAGTGAGCCGAGATCGCGCCACTGCACTCCAGCCTGGGCGACAGAGCGAGACTCCGTCTCAAAAAAAAAAAAAAAAAAAAGAAAAGAAAAAAAAAGAAAAGTCAAAAAATAAAAATTCAAAGAGAATTTTTTTTTCTTTTTTTACTTTTATGGCATGACTTCTAGTATTTTTATATCCTTAACACTTTATACAAAAAAATCAAAGGAAGAAGAATAATAACATTTAAGTTTACTTTGTTTCGTTTTTCAGAGTTAATAGTTGTTTCACATTCTCACCAAGATTTAGTTTTTAAATGTTGATCTTGTATCCTGCAACCCTTGATAAATTTCCTTGTAAATTCTAGTTCTTTAAAGACACCATAGTATGCTCTACACATACATTTCTTCTATGAATAAATAGATTTTTATTTTTTTCTTCCTAATATTAATACCTTTAAAAAAAACTTTATTTCAGTGGTTAGCACATGTTGAATAGAAGTGGTGAGAGCATGGATACTTGCATTCTTCCTAATCTTAAGGGGGCATGCATTCAAGATTTTATCATATGTTATAATGGTTGCTATAGGTTTTTCATAATTGCCCTTTATTGGACTGGAGAGGTTCCCTTTCATTTCCAATGTACTTAGAATTTTTTACAGACATGAATGGATGTTAAAACAGATGATTTTCTGCCTCTATTGGCAAGATCATATCATTTTTCCACCTTCATTCAGTGAATATAGCAATTAACTTGATTGATTTTCAAATGTTAAGCCAACTATGCGTTTTTGGGATACATCCCATCTGGTCACAACTTTTTATGTATTGTCATGTTCGGATTGCTAATGCTTTGTTTTAAAATTTTATGTGTAGCCGGGCAGGGTGGCTCACGCTTGTAATCCCACCACTTTGGGAGGCCGAGGAGGGCGAATCATGAGGTCAGGAGATCGAGACCATCCTGGCTAAGACGGTGAAACCCCGTCTCTACTGAAAATACAAAAAATTAGCCGGGCTTGGTGGTGGGCCTGTAGTCTCAGCTATTTGGGAGACTGAGGCAGGAGAATGGCATGAACCCGGGAGGTGGAGCTTGCAGTGAGCCGAGATCGCACGACTGCACTCCAGCCTGGGTGACAGAGTCAGAGTCCGTCTCAAAAAAATAAAAATAAAATTGTATGTGTATGTTTTTGAGAAATCATCTTTTCTTGTAATGCAAAATCCTTGCAATGCAAAATCCTGTGTCAGATTTTGGTATCAGGGTTATACTGACCTCATAAAGAAAGTTGGGCAATGGTATCCTTTCTTCTATTTTATGAACGAGTTTAGATACAATTGGCATTACCCGTTTCTTACATATTTTAGAAAACTCCCTGGTTGAGCCATATGAACCTGGAATTTTCTTAGTAGAAAGTTTTCAGCTCTACATTCATTTCCTTTTAAAATATATTCCTATTTAGATTTTGTATATCTTGATGTGCCAGTTTTGGCAAATGTGTTTTGTCATATTGCTATTCTTCATATTCCCTTATTATCCCTTCAGTTTCTTTAGGACTAATAGTGCTTCTCTTGTTATTCTTAATGTTGGTAGTTTGTGTGTTTCTCTTTTAAAATTCATCATTCTACTAGGGGTTTATCAATTTTGGTAATCATTTCAAAATACCAATTTTTGGCTTTTAAATTTTTTTCTAATGTTTGTCTACTTTATGTTTCATTAATTTTGACTCTTTTCCTTTTATCTCTTTCTTGCAAAGGACATGATCTCATTCTTTTTATGACTACATAGTATTCCATTGTGTCTGTGTACCACATTTTCTTTATACAGTTTACCATTGATGGCAACTTTGCTATTGAGAATAGTACTGTGTTGAACATATGTGTGCATATGTCTTTATGGTAAAATGATTTATATTCCTTTGGATATGTGCCCAATAATGAGATTGCTAGGTTAAATGATAATTCTCTTTTAATTTCTTTGAGAAATTGCCACGCTGCTTTCCACAATGGCTGAACTAATTTACATTCCCACCAGCAGCGTATAAGTGTTCCCTCTTCTCTGAAACCTCACTAGCATGTTATTTTTTGACTTTTTAATAATAACCATTCTGACTGCTGTGAGTTGGTATCTCGTTGTGGTTTTGATGTGCTTAGCGATGTCGAGCATTTTTTCATATGCTTCTTGGCTGCATGTAGGTCTTTGAAAAGCCTTTGTTCATGTCCTTTGCCCAATTTTTAAAGAGATTGTTTTTTGCTCGATCATTTAAGTTCCTTGTAGATTCTGGATATTAGACCTTTGTTGGGTGCATAGTTTGCAAATATTTTATCCCATTTTGTGGGTTGTCTGTTGACTCTGTTGACAGTTCATTCTGCTCTGCAGAAGCTCTTTAGTTTACTTAGGTCTCATTTGTCAATTTCTGGTTTTTGTGGTCAATGTTTTTGGTGTCTTCACCATGAAATACTAGCCAGGGCCTATTTGAGAATGGAATTTCCTAAGTTATCTCCTGGGGTTTTTATAGTTTGCGGTTTTACATTTAATTCTCCAATCCATGTTGAACTGATTTTTGTAGGGTGCAGCACACCAACATGGCACATGTATACATGTGTAACAAAACCTGCACGTTGTGCACGTGTACCCTAAAACTTAAAGTATAATAGTAACAAAATAAAATAAAATAAAACAAATGGAAAAGAAAGAAGGGGTTACATTTCAGTCTTTTGCATGTGGCTTGCCCATTATCCCAGCACCATTTATTGAATAGAAAGTCCTTTCCCTACTGCTTGTTTGTATCCTCTTTGTGAAAGTTCAGATGGTTATAGGTGTGCAGCACTATTTCTGGCCTCTCATTATGTTCCATTGGTTTATGTGTCTGTTTTTGTACCAGTATCATGCTGTTTTGGTTACTGTAGCCTTGTAGTATAGTTTGAGGTTGGGTAATATGATGCCTCCAGCTTTGTTCTTTTTTGCTTAGGATTGCCTTATTTGCCCATTTTTAAGTGGATTTTTTTTGTTTTGTTTTTTTGCTTGTTGCTTTGTTTAAGTTCTTTATAGTTTCTGGATATTAGACCTTTGTTTGGAAGCATAGCTTGTGAGTATTTTCTCCCATTCTGTAGGTTTTCTGCTTACTCTATTGATAGTTCCTTTTGCTGTGCAGAAGCTCTTTTGTTTAATGAGGTCCCACTTGTCAACTCTAGTTTTTGTTGCAATTACCTTTGAGGACTCAGCCAAAAATTCTCTGCCAAGGCTGTGGCTGAGAAGAGTATTTCCTAGGTTTTCTTCTAGGATTTCTATAGGCTGAGGTCTTAAATTTAAATCTGTAATCGATTTTGAGTTGATTTTTGTATATGGTGAAAAATAAGGGTCAAGTTTCACTTTTTTTTGTATCTGACTAGCCAGTTATCCCAGCACCATTTATTGAATAGAGAGACCTGAGAGTTAGCTTGGTTGAATGTTCTTAGGCTCCAGACTCAAGCCCACAACTTTCCTCAGTAGGGGCTTCTAAACAGAGAGTCTTTTCTCCATTGCTTATTTTTGTCTGCCTTGTTGAAGAGCTGATGGTTGTAAGTGCATGGATTTATTTCTGGGTTTTCTATTCTGTTCTATGGGTCTATGTGTCTGTTTCTGTACCAGTAGCATACTGTTTTGGTTACAATGGCCTTATAGTTTGAGTAGTGTGATGCCTCTAGTTTCATTCTTTTTACATTTTTTTCAATTTTTCTGGGTACAGAGTAGGTGCATATGTTCATGTGGTACATTTTGCATGGGATTGTTTTGACTATTCAGGCTTTTTTGGCTCTGTATGAATTTTCTATCTTTTTTTTCTAATTCTGAGAAGAATGGTGTTGGTGGTGAGATAGGAATACCATTAAACTGTTGATTGCTTTGGGCAGTGTGGCCATTTTAACTATATTGATTCTTGTAATCTATTAGTATGGAATGTTTTTCCATTTATTTCTGTCATCTCTGATTTCTGTCAGCAGTGTTTTTGCCATTAATTTTGTAGAGGGTTTTCTGGTTAACTGTATTCCAAGGTATTTAATTTTCTTTGTGCCTATTGTAAATGGGATTGTGTCCTTGATTTCACTCTCAGCCTGGACATTATTGATGTATGGAAATGCTATTGATTTTTATACAATGATTTCATGTCCTGAAACCTTCCTAAAATTGTATGTCAGTTCTAGTTGCCTTTTTGTGAAAGCTAGTTTTCTAAGTATAGAATTATATCATCAGTGAATAGAAATAGTTTGACTTCTTATTTTCCTATTTGGATATCTTTTATTTCTTTCTTTTGCATAATTGCTGTGGCTAGGACTTCAAGTACTCTGTTGAAGAAGTGTGGTGAGAATGTACATCCTTGTCCTTTACCAGTTCTTAAGGGGAATACTTCCAGCTTTTGCCCATTCAGTATCATGTTGGCTGTGGGTCTGTCATAGATGGCTCTTATTGTTTTGAGGTATATTCCTTCAAAATCTAGTCTGTTAAGGGTTTTTATCATGAAGGGATGTTGGATATTATTGAATGCTTTTTCTGCATCTATTGAGATGATCATGTGGTTTTTGTCTCTTATTATGTTTATGTGATGAATCACATTTATTGATTTGCATACATTGAATCAGCCTTACCTCTCGGGAATAGTACCTACTTGATCACAGTGTGTTAACTTTTTGATGTGCTGATGGATTCAATTAGCTAATATTTTGTCGATGATATTTGCATCTGTATTCATAAGGGATATTGCCCTGATGATTTGTTTTTTGTTCTGTCCCTGCCAGGTTTTGGTATCAGGATGATACTGGCTTCATAGAATGAGTTAGGGAGGAGCTCCTACTCCTCAATTTTTTGGAATAGTTTCAATAAAATTGGTAGAGTTCTTTTTTTAACTCTGGTAGAATTCAGCTGTGAATCTATCTGGCCCAGGACTTACTTTGGTTGGTAGGTTTTTTTATTATTGATTCTGTTTCACAGCTTGATGTTGGTCTAATCAGGGTTTCAATCTCTTCCAGGGATTCAATCTTGGGAGATTGTGTGTTTCCATGAATTTATCCATTTCTTCTAGATTTTCTAATTTGTATGCATAAAGTTGCTTATAGTATTCTTTGAGTATCTTTTGTATTTCTGTGGGATCAGTTGCAACATCATTTTTGTTATTTCTGATTGTACTCATTTGGGTCTTCAGCTTTTTTTCTATGTTAATCTAGCTAGCAATCTACCAATTTTGTTTATTTTTATTTTGAAGGACCAATTATTGGTTTCGCTGACCTTTTGTACATATTTTTGCATCTCACTTTCATTAAGTTTTTCTCTATTTGTAGTTATATCTGTTCTTCTGCTAGCTTTGAGCTTTTTTTTTTTCTAGTTCCTTTAGGTACAAAGTTGGATTATTAAATTCAGATTTTTCTAACTTCTTGATGAAGGTATTTAGTGCTATAATCTTTCCTCTTATTATCTTATTTACTTATTTATATAAAAAGTTTTATTTCCTGCTTTAGCTTCATTTCAGAGATTTTGGTTAGTTGTGTCCCTGTTTTAATTTCAAAGAATTTTTTTGATTTTTGCCTAATTTCAGTGTGGACCCATGAGTTATTCAGGAGCAAGTTGTTTACTTTCCATGAATTTGTGTACTTTTGAGAGACCTTCTTGACGTTTATTTCTAATTTTATTGCACTGTGGTTCAAGAATGTGCCTGGGATGATTTCAGTGTTTTTGAATGTATTCAGACTTGCTTTCTGACGAAGCGTGTGGTTGATCTTACAATATGTTCCATGTGTAGATGAGAATGAATATTCTATGGTTGTTGGATGGAGTGTTCTGTAGATGTTTATTAAGTCCAATTAGTCAAGTGTCAAATTTAAGTCCAGAATTTCTTTGTTCGTCTTCTGCCTTAACGATCTAAAACCATCAGTGGAGCAGTGAAGTCTCCCAGTATTATTGTATGATTGTCTAAGTCTTTTTGTAGGCCAAGAAAAACTTGTTTTATGAGTCGGGTGCTCCAATGTTCAGTGTGTATACATTTAGGATAAAGTCTTCTTGTTGAACTGAACCCTTTATCATTATGTAATGCCCTTCTTTGTCCTTGGTAATTGTTGTTGGTTTGTTTTATACGCTATAAGAAATAGTGACCCCTACTATTTTTTGTTTGTTTTTTGTTTACATGACAAATCTTTCTGCATCCCTTTACTTTGACCCTGTGGGTTTCATTACATATGAGATTGGTCTCTTCAAGACAGCAGACAGTGGTGTCTTGCCTTTTTATCCAACTTACCACTCTATGCCTTTTAAGTAGGGCATTTAGATAACTTACATTTAAGATTAATATTGATATGTCAGATTTTGATCCTGTCATCATGTTGTTAGCTGGCTGTTTTATAGACTTGACTGTGTAGTGCTTCATAGTGTCTATGGGCTATGTGCTTAAGCGTGTTTTTGTGGCAGCAGATGCTGTTCTTTTGTTCACGTGTTTAGCACTCCCTTAAGGACCTGTTATAAGGCTAGCTAAGTTGAAATGTATTACCTTAGCATTTTATTTTCTGAGAAGGATTTTATTTTTCCTTCACTTATGAAGCTAAGTTTGGTGGGATATGAAATTCTTGGTTGGAGTTTATTTTCTTTAAGAATACTAAAAATAGGCCCCCAATTTTTTCTGGCTGATAAAGTTTCTGCTGAAAGGTCTGCTGCTAGCCTGATGGAGTTCCCTTCATACATAACCCGACCTTTCTTTCTAGATCCCTTTTCTTTTGCATTAACTATGGTGAATCTGAAGATTATGTGCCTTGTAAATCTTGTACAATATCTAGCCAGGATTCTCTGTATTTCTTGGATTTGCATATCATCCTCTCTAGCAAGATTAGGAAGATTTTCATGGACTATATAGTCGAATTTATTTTCCAAGTTGTTTATTCTCTGTCCTTCTCTCTCAGTAATGGCAATGAGTTGTAGATTTGGTCTCTTTATATAATCTTTCTCAGAAGTTTTGTTCACTTTTAAAATTGTTTTTTCTTTATTTTTGTCTCACAGTGTTAATTCAAAGAACCAGTCTTTGAGCTCAGAGATATTTTCCTTAGCTTGGTCTATTTTGCTGTTAATACTTCTAACTGTATTATGAACTTCTTCTAGTGAATTTTTAACTCGAGAGTTTCAGTTTGGTTCTTTCTTAAAGTGGCTATTTTGTCTTTCAGCTCTTCTGTCATTTTACTGGATTCCATGGATTGGATTTCAAATTTGTCCTGAATCTCAATGAGCTTCCATGACATCCAGATCCTGAATTCTATGTCTCTCATTTCAGTAATTTCTTATGGGTTAGGAATCATTGCTGGGAAAGACACAATCTAACCTTGAGTGACCTTGAATGTAAATGGGTTAAATGCTTCAAGGCATTTAAAAGGCATAGAGTGGCAAGTCAGATAAAGAAGCAAGACCCAACTGTATTCTCTCTGCAAGAGACCCATCTCACATGCAGTGATATCCAGGGGCTCAAAATAAAGGGATGGAGAAAAAATAGACCAAGCCAAAGAAAACAGAAAAGAGCAAATGGTCTGATTCTAATTTCAGACAAAATAGACTATAAACCAATAACAATCAAAAAAGACAAGGGTATTTCATGATGGTAAAGGGTTAAACTCAACAAGAAAACCTAACAATCCTAAGAATATATACATCTAACACAGAAGTACCCAGACTTATAAAGGAAGTTCTTAGAGACCTTTGAAGAGACTTTGATAACCACACAATACTACTGGGAGACTTCAACAACCCACTGACAATATTAGAGCATTGAGACAGAAAATGAACAAAGAGATTCGGGACTGAGCTCAACATTTGACAAAATGGTCCTAACAGACATCTACAGTACTCTCCACCCAAAAACATTAGAATATTATACATTCTTCTCATCTGCACATGGCACATACTCTAAAATCAACGACACAATCAATCATAAAACAATTTTCAGGAAATTCAAAAAATCCAAAATCATACAAACCACACTTTCTCAGATTACAATGCAATAAACATTGAAATCAATACAATAAAATACATCAAAAGCATACGTGAAAATTAACCAACCTTCTCCTCAATGACTTTTGGGTAAACAACGAAATTCGGGCAGAAGTCAAGAAATTCTTTGAAACTAATGAGAACAAACATACTACGTATCAAAATCTCTGGGACACAGATAAAGCAGTATTAAGAGGAAAGTTTATATCACTAAAAAAAAAAACTACATCAAAATATTGGAAAGATTTCAAATTAACATCCTAACATCACACCAAGAGGAACTAGAGAAACAAAAGCAAATCAGTCCCAAAGCTAGCAAGAGAAGGGAAATAACTGAAATCAGAGCTGAACTGAAAGAAATTGAGATGCAAAAAACCATACAAAAGATAAACAAATCCAGGTTTTGTTTCTTCAGAATAACACATCAGATTGATAGAGCACTAGCTAGACTAATAAAGCAAAAAAGAGAAGAGATAAAAATAAACACAGTCAGAAATGACAAAGGAAACATTACCACCAACCCCAAAGAAATATTTTTTAAAAACCCTCAGAGACTACTATGAACAACTTTATGCACACAAACTAGAAGAAATTAATAAATTATTGGAAACATACAACCTCCTAAGATTGAACTAGGAAGAAACTGAAACTCTGAACAGACTAATAACAAGTTCCAAGATTGTGTTAATAATAAAAAGCCTACCAACCAGAAAAAGCCCAGGATCAGAGGAATTCACAGCTGAGTTCTACCAGATGCATAAAGAAGAGCTGGTACCTTTCCTCTGAAACTATTCTGAAAATTTGAGGAGGAAGGACTCCTCCCTAATTTATTCTATGAAGCCAACATCATTCTGATACCAAAACCTGGCAGAGATACAACAAAAAAAGAAAACTAGCAAAAAAAAAAAGAAAAAAAGAAAATACTAGCAAACTGAATCCAGCAGCACATTAAAACTCTACTCCAACACAATCAAGTAGGCTTTATCCCTGGAACACAAGGTTGGTTCAGCATACGCAAATTAGTAAATGTGATTCACCACATAAACAGAACTAAAAACAAAAACCATCTAATCTTCAACAAGGCTGACAAAAACAAGCAATGGGAAAAGCACTCCCTATTCAATAAATGGTGCTGAGATAACTAGGTAGCCATATGCAAAAAATGGAAACTGAACCCCTCCCTTATACCATATATGAAAATCAATCCAACTG
Organism: Homo sapiens; assembly: GCF_000001405.40. Classification (NCBI taxonomy): domain Eukaryota; kingdom Metazoa; phylum Chordata; class Mammalia; order Primates; family Hominidae; genus Homo; species Homo sapiens. The sequence goes on along the minus strand of NC_000015.10, from coordinate 22,101,556 downwards.
GATTAAAGACTTAAATGTGAAACCCCAAACTATAAAAACCCTGGAAGACAACCTAGGAAATTCCATTCTCAGCATAGCCCCTGACAAAGATTTCATGACAAAGATGACAAAAGCAAAAATTAATAAATGTGACCTAATTAACCTAAAAAGCTTCTGCACAGCAAAATAAATTATCAACAGAGTAAACAGACAACCTATAGAATAGGTTAAAGTATTTGCAAATGCACGCCTGTAGTCCCAGCTACTCGGGACGCTGAGGCAGGAAAATTGCTTGAACCCAGGAGGCAAAGGTTGCAGTGAGCCGGGCCCGCACCACTGCCCTCCAGCCTGGTGACAGAGTGAGACTCCATCAAAAAAAAAAAAAAAAAAAAAAAGAGTAGTCAAGGCTGGGCGCAGTAGCTCACGCCGGTAATCCCAGCACTTTGGGAAGCCAAGGCGGGTGGATCACCTGAGGTCAGGAGTTCGAGACCAGCTTGGCCAACATGGTGAAACCCCATCTCTACTAAAAATAACAAAAATTAGCCAGGCATGGTGGCAGGTGCCTGTAATCCCAGCTATTGGGGAAGCTGAGGCAGGAGAATCTCTTGAACCCAGGAGGTAGAGGTTGCAGTGGGCCGAGATTGCACCATTGCACTCCAGCCTGGGTGACAAGAGTGAAACTGCATCTCAAAAAAAATAAATAAGACATACACTTGGCCAAGAAGCATATGAAAAAAAATGCTCAACATCACTAATCATTAGAGAAATGCACATCAAAAGCACAATGAGATACCATCTCACACCAGTCAGATGGGCTATTATTAAAAAGTCAAAAAATCATAGATCATGCTGGCAAGTTTGCAGAGAAAAGGGAATGTTTATGCATTGCTGGTGGGAATATAAATTAGTTCAGCCATTATGGGTAGCAGTGTGGTGATTTCACAAAGTACTTAAAACCAAAGTAGCATTCAACCCAGCAATCCCATTATTGGGCATATACCCAAAGAAATATAAATCATTCTACCATAAAGACACATGCACAAGTACCTTCATCGTAGCAATATTCACAATAGCAATGTCATGGAATCAACCTAGATGCCCATCAATGGTGAACTTGATAAAGAAAATATGGTACAAATATACTATGGAATACTATGCAGTCATAAAAAGAATGAGATCATATCCTTTGCAGCAACATGCATGGAGCTGGAGGCCATTTTCCTGAGTGAACCAACATAGGAACAAAAAACTAAACACTACATGTTCTTACTTACAAATTTGAGATAAACCTTGAATACACATGAACACAAAGAAGGGAACAATACATACTTGGGCATAGTTGAGATTGGACTGTGGGAAAAGGGTGAGGATCAGAAAACTGCCTATCAGGTACTATGCCTATTACCTGGGTGATAAATCTGTTCACCAAACCCCAATGACAAGCAATTTACCTATATAACAAATCTGCACATGTATAACTGAACCTAAAAATTAAAAAATTAAAATTAAAAAAGTAAAAGGTATCTCCAAACAAGCAAACAAATAAGGAAAGCAAATAAAAAAAATCATTGCTTGGGGTCTGGTGGACTCATCTGGAGGTATGGGGAAACTGGCTTTTTGAATTGTCAGAGTTCTTGCACTGATTCTTTCTCATCTGGAAGCATTGGCGTTCCTTTACCTGTGGTGTAATTTGAGTATAGTCACTTGGCTTTGTTTCTGAATGTTTTCAGATAGCCAAGGCTTTGTGCAGGGTCTTTATTTGTGGCTGGATTCTTGCCTTTGATTTCACTGGGGGATATTAGCAAAATATTTTTGGTGTTGTAGCAGTTTTGGCTGCAATCCAGTAGATGTCGCTTAAGAGTAATGGACGGTAAATACACTCTTGCTCAGGCCTGTGGTTCCTTTGTACTTCCTCACATCTACAGCCTGGTCTCCCGTACAGCGGGGAAAGAAGTGACCCCCTCACCAGGTCAGTTCCTGAGCCTTGGGGGAACCCCCTCCGATCACTAGCACTGCACCATCATTTCTTTTGCTAGGTGTTCCAGGCTGCGGGGCTCCCTCAGGCAGAGGCCACCGCAGGGAGATAGGCCACACCTTTTCCAGGCTCCTCCTGCAGAGGGAGGCGCGCCCCGCTCCCACAGCAGCCCAGGAACTCATGCGGTTACCCCTCTCGGTGCTCTGGGAGTGTGGGTTTCTCTTCCCGCTCTGGTGTTGGACCTGGGGCGAGTTCGGGCTTTTTATTCCCTCCCCTGCTTGGGGGAGCAGGGAAGGGGACCTTGGCGGTGTCGGTGGCAGAGGGCTTGTCAGTTGTCTCTGGGAACTCCACCCCAGAGAAATTCAGAGCCGCTGCCAACCAGAATGATCAGCCCGGGATGGGACGTTTGTGCTGTGGGCGCAAGCCCAGGGCCCTCCCTGGTGGAGAGCAGAGGGATCGGGGGCTTGTTGGGGGGACTGTCTGACCTCCTCTCCGTAGTGCAGCTGTGGCATGCTGGATGTGCAAGCACAGCAAGCAGGCTCTTTGTTCCCTCCCTAGCCCTGGGGGTGGCAGCAGTGGCAGAGGGCCTGTCAGCTGCCTCTGGCAACTCCACCCAGAGCTACTGCTACTGCTAAGGTGAAGGATCCAGGGGTGGGGCGGCTGTGTTGTGGGCCAAAGCCGGGCCGTGTCTGGTGAAGAGTAGCCGGGGTCAGGGGCTCGCAAGGAAGACAATCTGGCCTTCTCTCCCTAGGACAGCTGCAGTCAGGCTCTTTGTTCCCTACCTAGCCTGCGGGGAGCAAGGAAGGACCTTACACTCAGCTAGTGGTGGCACAGAGCCTGCCGGTTGTCTCTGGGAGCTCTACCCCAGAGAAACTTAGGGCCACCGCCAAATGAAAGAACGGGTGGGGGTGGGGTAGCTGTGCTGGGACCCCAGGCTCGGAGGCCCTGCCCAGTGAGGAGTAGCTGGGACAGGGACCCAAGTGGAAAATAATCTGGCCACTTTTCCGTATGACAGCTGTTCGTATGCCTTGCTGAAGGTCTAGGATAGTTCCTGCGCTCTTCGATCCCTCCCCAGCCTGAGGGCGGCATGTGGGAGACCACAGTACCAGAAATCTCAGGCCTATTGGTTACCTCTGGGAGTTCCTTTCCAAAGAAATGGAGAGCCTGACTGGCCTGAGTGCTCAGGTGGGAGTGGGGTGGCTGCGTGGGCGACCCAGGCCAGTGGGCTTTGCCTGGCTTGATGAAGCAAGCGGGGCCTGCGGTCAGTCTGCTCCTCAGCACCGTGGATGCAGCCCCTATTCTAGGGGCATGCGAGAGAGCTGGCCTCCCTTGTTGGTGTGGCTATGGCAGCTGGCACCAAGGTGCTCAGGGCCCCACGGCTCATGGGGCTCCAGGTGACCCTAGCTGCAGCTCTGCCCAGACTCCAGTAATCTCTCTGTGTTGGTCTGGAAGCCCCTCGGGGTCACGGGAGATCTCCTGTGCCAGGATTGCAGAGGCCCATGGCAGAAGTGTGGGTCCCAGGAGGTTCTTATTCACCCTTTCCCTATGGTAGGGAGCCTCACCTGGCTCTATGCCAATCCTGGGTGGACTGCTTTCCTGCCTGGCCCCTTTCTGCTGTCCATCGATTGCAGTTGCTTCCTTGATGAATCCTAACATGGCCTCATGGACGATCCATGTGAAGAGCTAGTGTTTACTCACCACCCTGTCTCCCTCTCCATGAGTGGCACATGATAGCTGCTTCTGGCACCTCACCCTATTCTGTACTTTTTTATTGATAATACATGAGCAACATTATCCTACATGCTAATCAAAATCAGTGGTTTTCATTTCTGTGGTTGATTTTTAAGGGTAAGCTTACTTTCATGCTTATAAGCCTTTTCGTTTTTTTCCTTTGTTCATTGCCCACATTTCCTTCTATGTACCTATTTCATATTCATTTAAGCAAATTATTTATGTATTAGATAAATTTTTATCGTTTATATCGATTTTTAGTAATTTTTATTTTAATTTTTATTCATGGATGCCCTCTCATACAATCTTGGAGTAGGGAAAAAATATTCAATTTACATGCAAACCTTATAATCATGCAGAAAATAATCTCCACATCTATATGCCATAGAAATATTTTCAGCGTTTTTCTGCCTTTTGCCCATATAAACTTTTTTCATTTTTACATATCAAAATATGTAGCAGATATCAAGATTTAATACATCTTTTTATTTTCATTTTCTTTGTCAAACTTCAATGGCCTTTCTCACCTCCAAGATTGCAAACTTTTTATCCTATATTTTACCACCATTTTTGTTTGCTTTCTGAAGAAGCTGTCAACACACAGACAGGTTTGTCAAAGACTTTTGCCACTACCATTACAGATTCTATCAAATATACTCATACAAAATTTAATTTAGAAAAAATAATTAGAGAGACAATAACATGAGAGGTGCTCTCTACAATTCTCTTCATGCCAGACCATGGCTGATTGATGTGTTCCCTGAGCCAAGAGCTGGGAAAGTGGTTTCTTGTCCTCTCAGTCTCCTGGTTATGGCAGGGATAGGTCACTTAGCAGGTTAGTTCTACAGTGTTTTTCTGGTAACAATTTCTATAATAGATGCCCAGCATAAATAATGGTCTTCTATACTTGAAAAATTTTATAAGTACCTAATTTCTCACATTAGACCCCACTATTAATACAGGAGTTATTAAGAAATTATTTTTAGGCAGCTAGAAAGGGTAAAAGAGTCCTCAGAAAGGCTTTTCCTTTTAATAAAAAAGCAGCCCCCAAACCATTTCTTTTCTAACAGAAAGCAGCCTGAAAAGCCATGCTGGAAGCATAGGTATGTAAATTACAGGCTTGCAGAAGTAAATGCAGGTGGCTAACAGCCAGGTCCACTCAATATGACTCTTCCCGCTCACTTTCCTTTGTTGCCACATGTGCAGTTGTCATGGCACCAGCCAAGTAAAGCCACATGTGCAGGCATCATGGTGACAGCCAGGTAGAAGCCGCATTTGCAGAATAAAAGATTAGGGTGGGAGGGCCAGTCTTTTCATGGGTTGTGTGAATGACACACCTGGTCAAAGGAATCCCCTGGGCCCTATGCAAATCAGACACTACCTCCCTGAGCCTCCCAATATAACTGACTGCTTTCCCCACAAGTGGGGTTACTCCATTCAGAGTGCTTCTCCCTCTGTATGGGGAAGCTCTTCTCTTCCTTCTTGCCTAATAAACTTTCTGTTCCTTAACCCACTCCGTGTGTGAGTCTGTGTCATTAATCGGCACAGCACAAGACAACGAACTGCAGGTATTTCCCCAGACAACGAAGCTGCTTCACTATGTTGAAAATAACTGGAGTGATTTATGTAATCTGTAATACAATCTGAAGTACTAAATATCTAATAATGTCTAATAATCATCGTGAAGCTCTGAAGAAAAAATAAGTGAAATAATTTCATGACATTTTACCATGAAACAAATTGGCTTCCTTTCTTATCTCGCCACCAAATTTTGGGGGGGAAATATATATTTATTTATATATTGATTAAATATATAAAAATATATATTTATAAATATATAAAAATATATATTTATAAATATATAAAAATATATTACTTATTTTATATATATGTAAATATACATATATATAAAATATATATAAAAACATTAAAATATATATAATTTTAATATATTTATATATATAAAATACTATAGTCTTTTTCATAACATACTTGCAACATACATTTGGTTTTTGATATTTTACAGTTTATTAATCTCTGCCTAAAATCTTGCTGATGTTGCTCTAACCAGTAGAGGAAAGCATTGTAGATGAACTGCTCCTTTGCTTAAAACATTAAAATGGGTTCTTACCACAATTAAAATATGAAAAAATTCTTACCTCAGACCGAAAGACCCTTGCAGTCACATAAAACTTAACCCTTAAATTTCTCACACTTACTCATTATACTTCAACCACTCTGGGGTTTCCTTTATATTCTTTAAATATAATAAGTTTATTCTCTCATTATGCATAACTCTCCTCCATTGCCTACAATGGTACCTGGCAAATGGGAGGTACTCAGTGAAAAACAGGACTTGTTAAATGAATGATATGAATTCCAGCCAGAATTCCTCCTTCTCAGTTTCTTATTATAAAATCCACTTGACAGACTACATGTCGACTCAATAACCTCTTCATGGAAGTTTTCACTTCCTGGTTGCGAAGGGTATAAATCATAGGATTCATCAATGGAAAGATCACTGTGTGAAAGAGAGAAACCATCTTGTCAGCTGGTAAGGCCCTGAAAGGGCACATGTAGATGAAGATAGCAGGTCCAAACATAAGAAGTATAATAATGACACGAGTGGTGCACGTGGACATGGCCTTGTTCTTCCCTTCAGAAGCTGCCCTACGAACATGGCAGAGGATGACTGCATAGGAAGCCAGAAGCCCCAGAAAGCACAGGAGTGTCATCAGGCCACTGTTGAAGACCATTAGAAGCTCCACCACAAACATGTCGGTGCAAGCCAGCTTGATGACCTGTCGGACATCACAGAAGAAGTTGTCCAGCTGGTTTGGGCCACAAAAAGGCAAGCGGAGGATGAGGACCACCTGGATAATGGAGTGGACAAAACCCCCAAGCCACAGAGCCAACATCATTGCATAGCAGGCTCTAGGGTTCATGACAGTTGAACAGTGCAGAGGCCGGCAGATGGCGATGTAGCGGTCAAAGGCCATCACAACAAGGAGTAATCCCTCCCCTCCTCCAAGGAAGTGCAAGAAAAAGAGCTGAGTGATGCAGCCTCTGTAGGAGATTACCTTTTTCTCAGAGAGGAAGTCCACCAACATCCTGGGAGCCACAATGAAGGAGTAGGATGCATCCAGGAAGGCCAAGTTGCCCAGAAATAAATAGAGGGGGGCTGTGAGCCCAGGGTCTGACCTTATGGTGAAAATAATGAGAAAATTTCCAGGGAGGATGATAAGGTAGAAAATTAAGATCAGCACAAAGACCAAGAGCTGAATATCTTGAGACTGAGTCAGACCAAGGAGGATAAATTCTGTCACTACTGTGTTGTTTGCTATCTTCATTTCTTCTGCCTGTAGAATATCAATAAAAGAGTTTATTTTCAGGTGTTACATCTAGATTATAGTTCTTGAACTAAACACAAGGTATGCCACATTTATATTATTCTATCTATCTCAACAACCTAAGAAATCACTTCTACTGTTTATGCTTCCTCATTTCATGATAGCCAACACCCTGGTCCTGAAGCCACACTCTTTCTTCTGTTTCAGTCCTGTGCTTCTGTTTAAGTGTTCACTCATGTGAGACTTGGATGTTACTGCTCTGAATTTGTTCCTGATTTGTATGAGGCATATGAAAATTTTTCTGACTGAGAAAAAACTTAACCCCAGTTATTGAGGACTTCATGTTTTGCTTTGAATGGAAGATGAGCTGGGATTGACAGCAAAGAAGAATGACAGAACTTTTCAAGGGGACAGAAATGTTCCGTTTTTAATTATAATGGTTATATGTATCTATTTTTGTCAAAATTTATTGAGTATTGAACTATACAGCAATTAGTACAATTTATTTTATATAAATGCTACCTTAGGAATGTTTATCTAAAAACTTTTATAAAGGCAACTGTACTTACCAGAAATAATTCCCTTTTCTCTATAGAACATCAACCAAATGAACTGGTCTAAATAAAAAGCTCTCAGTCACTCTGGAGAAAACAAGATCTGAGGCTTCTCTGTACAGTGGCTTCCAAATTGAGACTGTGCTCATGCTTGGGGATGTGCATGATAATTTATTGGTATGAAAGCAATAATAGGAGAATTTCTACACTTACATTATTGTATCCTATTGTTTGAAGTTTTATTTTTGAACATTTTACATTTATATAGAATCATGATGTAATTGGATATGAAATGCATAAAGAAGATACGTATGTTTTTGGTGCATGTTCAAAAAATGGTTTGTGGTTGAAATAAAAAAATTTAAAAGCTAAAGATCTTGAGCTAGAACAAAATACTACAATGTGATACAGAAAAATATTTCATATGCTTCTGTTACACAGCACATTTGTTTTAAAATAATGTGGACTATGAAGCGTAGAGGGAAAGAGGTTCATTAACTAACTGAATGAGGAGTCGGTGTGTAAGAAGAGAGGGAAACAAAAACAATAAAGTCCCGAATTAAGAAATCAAAGAAAATATTTATAATGGCACATCTATTTAAAACATCAAAAGATATGCTTTTCAAAATATATCTAATCCTAATATATTAATTAATAGCAGAGGTTTTCAGGTATGGTCAGAATTGGGAATTATGAAAGAAGTACCTAGGCCAGGCACTGTGGCCCACACCTGTAATCCCACCCTTTTTGGAGGCCAAAGCAGGTGGATCACTTGAGGCCAAGAGTTCGAGACCAGCCTGGCAAAACCCTGACTCTACTAAAAATATAAAAATTAGCTGGGCGTGGTGGCAGGAGCCTGTAGTCCCAGCTACTTCAGAGGCTGAAGCATGAGAGTCGCTTGAACCTGGGAGGTGGAGGTTGCAGTGAGTCCATATTGTACCACTGCACTCCAGCCTGGGTGACAGAGCAAGACTCTGTCTCAAACAGAAAAAAGTATCTTACATCACATGTATGTACATCACACAGACACAAATAAATACACGCAAACACACGTATCCTAACCAAAACAGAAGCATAAAATTTTACATATGATACCCTTCTTCTTTTCTTTTTTTTTTTTTTTGGCACTTGGCCATTTATTGACCTTAATATTTATCAGTCTTTCTGTGCATATAAAACCTGCTAATAGAAAAGTCGGGAATCCCTCTCTGCTTACTCTTAAGTTGTGTACATCTTGCATGTTATTATGCAGTTGGTTATTTCATACTCTTTCAAAAATTGAGGATGTATTTGGGTCATAGAAGAAACTTTCAAGTATCTCTGAGATTGGGAGTTTCAGGTTCTTGCACTGTACCTTGCATTTTATTCCCTGTTATCCACTTCTGTTCTCCTACTGACTCTGTAACATCTGGAACCCTCTACCATCAAATATCTTTGATTCACTGTGTTCCCTTTGTGTGCTTCCCTCTAAGCTCTTTTGTTATATGGATAGTGCTCACATCATGCTCATTATGGATCCAGAAACCAAATATATATATTCATAAGGTGGACATTCCTCTAGGTAAAATGAAGTAAGTCCTAGCAAAATAAAAGCACAGAAATTCCTGCAAAGACAAGCTTGGTCTTGTCTAACTATATTAGAAGAACATAACAATGTTAGAAGGATCACTGTCAGTGGAAGCTGAAATAGAAATCTGAATGACTGCCACTCCCTCTATCCTATATTTCAATTTCAACAGAAACAAAATTTCATCTGTTCCTGACAATGCTGGAGCAGCACAGAAGAGGAAAGAGTGATGGGTGGGGGCACACACACATTCCAGATAAAGGCTGCGCTATGCACTGTTCACGTTTAGAGTCCAGGCTCTTGTTAAAAAGTTCATGGAGCAGGTATTTGGAGATTTGATTCCCATCCACAGGCACTAATTCACTCATTTTTCTTTATATTTCCTCATGCCTCCTTTTAAAATATTTATTTTATTATCTTCCCCTCCCATCTCGCTAAATATTTCTACACTTCATTTTTTAAGTTATACTTTTACTTAAGTTGGTTTCTCTTTCTCTATTTTATCTTCTCTTTCTCTCTCGTATTTGTTCTCTAATGATTCCCCTTGCTTTTCTCTTATCTCTTCTATTTTTTCTCCTTTGTTGTTTTTACTTCTCAATGTTCTTGCAGTTTCCAATATTTTTCCACTCTCTCTTCTTCTCTATTCATTTCTCCTTTATTAGATCTCATGTTTGCCTTCCCATTAATTCTGAGAAGCATCACTATTGTTTTCTTTTGAAACAGTAGTAAGGACAGCACATGAAGTTTCTTCACTCCAATTTTTGTAAGGGTTAAAAATACCTAACCCATCTTTCAGTACTAAATTACTTTCCTTGAATAGTATCCTACTTAAAATATACTGTGTAAATACTTTTAAATTATTTCCCATTACCTCAAATATTTTGTCTGTTTATAACTGATCTTAATAAAAGTGGCACTATTCACCTTTCTGCTTGAAAGAAATTTCTCATTAATCCACCCTACCAGCAAAAACACATTTTAGAAATGTTCCCAAAATAAGAATAAGAATGTGATGTCTATTAATATGTGCTATCTAATTTGTAACCCATAACCTATATAATCATTAATTTTTTGTGTGTTCTGAGAAATGTGGATAAAGTTAGAGTATCATCAAATCATTAACTGATACCAATGTTTATAATGCCATGATTTCTAGGCAAAGTAATGGATGTCATTTAAAAAGCCCTCGTTTGGGCATCTATCTGGGTTTAAGTTCTTCATTGTGCAATTTTTTTAACCGTGAGATCTTGGGAAGGTCATCTTCCTTAGCCTGAGTTATTTTATCTCACTGTGTTGATTTATGAATATAATATGAGAATGATAGCAATAAGTAGCATATTGAAGTCTGACTAAACCAAAACTAAACAAGGAAAAAATGTAGATATTAAGAGGGGCTTTAGTTTCTAAGAAGTAAATATATAATATAGATCCTCTGTCCCTGCCTTTGAAATGAGTTGCTGGGGTAAAGGTAGCTATGTTAATGTAAGAAATTACTAGAAAAGAATTTATGAAGGCTTCATTTCAGCCAGCTGTCAAAGCCCCAGATTGGTATATGGTAAGACTCTTTGTAAAAGAACCTCTCATCCCAGCAGGTGTGGGAACTAGACAGAGCTAGTCTCCTGCAAAATCGTGAAGTTGGTGAAGATTTCTTCTGCAGCCTAGCATTTCTGCATTGGATATGACTTCTGTTCCCTCACGTCTTTCAGTTAATAGCTATAGGTTTAGGACCAAGTATAAACATTCCCAAGGCAATGTTAATAAAGGCTTTATATATTCCCAATAAATTAATTCTAAATATTAGGAGAAACTGGGGCTATATTATTAAGACCAGGTAAAAGGTGCTACTGTATTACTGAATTCAGATTAAACATATTAATCTATTTCTAGTTTGAAACCCATAACCTATATAATCACTATAATTCTGATCTTTGCATTTCAAGGCAGCAGATGTCCCACCTGAGGTGTTACAATATGTTTCCATTTCTTCCTTATGTTCCTTATAAATATGGAGAATGGAAAAACATTTACCTCTCTAGTAATCTAATGCTCCTGTCAAACAGCAGATATCACCTCCTTCTAATAGAAGGAACAATAACTAATTTTTCCTGACTTCATTGTTAAATATCTCTTCTCACAGAGGAATCTCTTATGCAACCAATTTGTGATGCAATGGAGAATGTACTTTGGGAATTTGAAGGCTAACAAAGCTGCAAACACTTTCAAAGGGAATTGTTAAAATGCCAACAAAATATAGTCAAAGAATGAGACTAGAAACATGTTATATATAAATAGTGAAGTATATATGATTTAAAAGTCACTATGTTACTTCTAAGTTTTAAAATCAACATTCTATCAGTGACACATATTACAGAATAGTCAGCATGTTTACTAGGTCCATGTGGGCAGAAAGCCAAAAGAGGTTATTTTATTTCTTACGTTACTATTTTTTTTAAAAAAGTGTATAATAGGAAATCATTGATAGATCAAGAAAAGAAGTAATGTGGTCAGGTAGGTAGTATGGTAAATTCAACATATTTCTGATGACAAAGAAATAGGCAAAGAAAAATAAATGATGTTCACAAAGACTCTTTGACATAATCCTTCTTGGAGACGAGAACTGCATATTGAAGGACTAATTCCTCACAAAGAGATGTATTCTTAAATACACCCTATTGTGGTCTTGGCCTTTGTTGTTTTCATTTTAGGAATAAGTGTCTCCTATGTTCCACTAAAGCAAAGACAACTATTTTTTTAAGTAAATATTACTAGACAGAAGAAAAGTAATTAAGAATCACATAGTAGAACACAATATAATTAAATTTCAGTAGATTTATTTTTATTTTAAAAAGATTTTTTATTTTAAAAATTAATAAACAGTTTTTCAACAAATATAATGCATAATCAATAATATTTTGTTCTAATTTATGTCCAATTCAGAAAATAATAAGTGGGAAAAATGGAACATGGGGAAAAGAGAAAAAGGGAGAAAGAGATACACAAAATCATAAAGGTAAAAAAACCGGGGGGGAGAAATGCAAGAACAGGAACAAATGCAAAGACAGTAATGGAATAATAGGAAATAAAAAGCCAGGCACAAAAATGCATATTTTGTAAAACTATATACACCAAATAAACTAAAAAGTGCAGTGTTTACTTTCTTAAAAGAAACAGAAAAGAAGTGATATAAGTAAAGAAACACATGGAAAAACATTCCCATTTTTGAGTATATTATAGTCTTTCTTGCTACCAAAGATTTTTTAAAATATGATTTTTTCATAATTGTAGACATAGTTAGGGACTTTGCTTCCTAATGTTTTCCACAATACTTAAAGTGAAGATAGTCTAATGATCTAAATTAATCCTTAGAATGAAGGCTTGTTATTCCTGCTAGGAAAGATTTGTCTCCCTAGACTATCTTAGAAACTAAAACCATGTACCAGGCTGTATTGTAGTGTCTGCAATGCAGCACCGAACAAGACAGAAAATATCCCTGTTCCTGGGGATTTTACATCCTAAAGCATGGAAACAGACAACAAACAAACATACCAGAGAGAAAACAACTGATTGTAATGAGCACTATGATAAAAATATAAGAGAAAGCGGAAGAGACTACTATTCCAAGTGAGCTGGCCAGGGAGGGCCTTTCTGACAAGGTGGCAACATTTCAACTAAGATCTGAATGACAGAACTACACCGTCTCTGGGAAGATCTGAAGATAGACTTGTTGAAAGCTCATTAAGGGAGAGACTGGTGCATTGAGAAGCAGAAAGGAGGCTAGTGTGGCAAGACAGTAGTGAGCAAATGGAAAAAATTGTAAGGGAAGATAGAGAGGTAGAGCCAATATGGGCCAAATGGCAATCGGTCAACATACTATGTGTGAGATGTAACAGGCAGAGGAGTGTTCCTACCTGATTTACATGTTTAAAATGTTGTGCCAGGTACTAAGTGAAAAACGGGCTATAAAATGCAAGAAGTGGAGGCAAGGGAAACAGTAGGGAGCATTTGAAGAACTATTAATATAAATAAGAGATGTTGGTAGGTTAGGATAAGAGGTAAAAAAGAAGACAGAAGAATTTATACCAAAGATAAACTTTGGAGAGATAATCAATGGGACTTATTGAAGGACTGCATATGAGAGGTATGGAAGCAAGAATAACTCAGAATTTTTAATGGCATTACCATAAGGTTGGAAATTAGGCAGTGTACTTTAAATATACTTGACTTTAAAAATGTATTTAATTTTTGAATAGGTAATATATTTACATTTTTAAATAAAAAATAATTCATACAGTGAGAAATTTCCTTCTTATATCTGTCCCCTATATGTCCATTTCACCCCATACCTCAAAATTGGAAGCTAATATTAATTTTTGTATCCTTCAAGAAATTTATCTGTATTTACAAGCAAGCATGAAAATAAATTCTTGGTTGTATTTCTTAGAATACAATGTATATACATTAAAATACACACATTTAAGTGTTCAACGTAGTAACTTCTGTTAAATATATGCACTTTAGAAACTAGTATTCTAAACAAGATAAAGAATATTTCCGTCACTCCAGAAAGGTTTCTTGTGATCTTTGCCATCCACCCCCACCATCTAACATCATAATGAGCTTTCATCTTTTAATTCCTAATAGCATAGATTAGTTTTACCTTTTCTTGGATTTTATAAAAACAGAAGCATATGACATGTGTTATTTTGTATCTGGCTTTTAAACTCAGCATTACGATTTAGAGATTCATGCGTATTGTTGCATTTTCTGTAGTTGTTTCTTTTTACTGCGGACTAATGTTTCATTATATACTTAACCCTAAGTTTGTTTATTATCATTTTATCCTTTTATGGACATTTGGGTTGTTTCAAATCTTAGGCCACCAATAAGGTTTTCATTAGCATGCGAATTTAAATCATTTCATAGACATGTCTTAGCTAAACACGAATGGGATTATCAGGTCATAAGGTAGCTGTTTGTTTACATCTACCTGAAATTACCTGAAGTTTCTATTAAGTTTTTCAGAGTGGTTAGCCATTGTAAATTCCCAACATCAATGTATGAGAGTTCAAGTTATTCCAACAATTAATTCACCAACATTTGGTGTTGTGTTTTACTTATGCCATTATATTTTCTGCATTTCTAATGCTTTAATGTCTTGTGCCTTCCTAACACTGGAGGAACTATCCCTCTTATGGCTAGCCAATTCCTAGAGATGGTAAAAGCCTCACTTGCAACCAATCTAGAAACCATACTCCAGCCGCTTCTTTTATCAGGCACCTATAGCGCTATTACACTCCAGGCCACTATTTGCCTTCCCTAATCACCCCAGGGCCAAGTGCCAGACACTTAGAGACAGCCCCTATCCTCCAGAGCCCACTGGAATTATTCAATCTAGCCAATCCTAAACCTGTTTATCCTGCCCCATCCATCTATTTCCACAGAAACCATGATAAAGGCTCTTACCCACATTTTTCTCATTTCCCCACTCACCTAACCAACCTCTTATTTCTAGGGATTTGTGAGTCTAAAAACTTCTTCCTTCATGACAGTCATTTCCATGACAGTGTGTCTTACCATTCCTGATTAAAATAAATACCGGGCACCTTTAAAACAGTGCAGCAGACAAGAACTACATCTTGATGGCAGCTACATTGTTTTTGTCAGTAGTTGCCACAGGCTCCCAACATAAAATTGTGGAGCTCGGAAAGCTGAGTCCTCCCAGCGCTGCTGCATAGTCTAGAGTGTCAAGTGCCTGGGACTGAGCACCTGGAGGCACTCAATATATTTCTTCATGTTGGTAGAGCATCCGGAGTCCAGGAGAGAGCACGTGAGGGTGAGGATGTATTGGTAATTGGCTATATCAGTTTCTAGAAAGATTCGTCCGAAGGGGATGAGAACTGACTGCCTTCCTAGTGCCATGGATGAATCTGGCCCACTGACCAGGCAGCACTAACAAGCAATGGGGAAACTGAGTCATTTTTATGGACGTGTCTAGTCTCCAGTATGTTATATGTTCCTGGGGCACTTGATAAACCCCTTCCTCTTTTCCTTCTCTGCTATTTTGTTCTGTTCCTCAGAGTAGTGGGAGAGCGCTCTGCCTGAACACTTGATCGTGTGTTGTGGACCATTCCCTGCTGAGTAATGACGTGCATCTTTTCGTGAACTTGCTGATCACTTCTGTATCTTCTTTTCTGGAGTGTCTGTTCAAATTTTTTGCTGATTTTTCTTTACTTGAAGACAGAGAGAAACAGGGAGATTAAGAGAGACCAAATTTTCCTCCCAGTGTATGATTTCCTTAATAATTTGATGATAGTGTATCTTGACGAGCAGTAATTTTTAATTTTTTGAGGTTCATTTGATCACTTTTTATTATTACACCTGCTTTTGTGCTGCTTAAGATATCATTGCTTATTCCAATTGTGTAAGCAAATATATTATTCTGTGTTTTCTTCTAGATACTTTATATTTCTAGTTACTACATTTAGGAGTATAATCCAGCTCTGAAGATGCTCTTATTTGATTATATTTTCACTGAGATAAAAACTCTTTTCTCTTGTCATAATATAACTCTTCACTGGTTTACTTTTTTGTTGTTAAGGAAAAGAGATCAGCCGGGTCCCGTGGCTCATGCCTGTCCCAGCACTTTGGGAGGCCGAGGCAGGTGTATCATTTGAGGCCAGGAGTTCAAGACCATCCTGGCCAACATAGCAAAACCCCTTCTGTACTAAATATACAAAAATTACTCGAGCATGGTGGCATGGACCTGTAATCCCAGCTACTCAAGAAGCTGAAGCAGGAGAACTGCTTGAACCCGGGAGGCGAAGACTTTAATGAACCGAGATCGAGCCACTGCCCTGGAGCCTGGGATACAGAGTGAGACTCTGCTTAAAAAAAAAAAAGAAAGAAAGAAAAGGAAAAAAAAAGGAAAGAAGGAAGGAAGGAAACCAGTGAGATATTATCCTGACTGCCTTTCCCTTGAAGACGATCTCTGTTTTCAACGTCTGCTTAGTAGTCTTTATAGTTTAATAAGCCTAATACTAGATTAAATACAGTAGCCCCCTCTTACCCACAGTGTTGCTTTCTGTAGTTTCTGTTGTCCATGGTCAACTTCAGTCCAAAAAATGTTAAATGGAACATTCCAGCAGCAAACAATTCATAAGCTTTAAATTATGCCCCATTCTAAGTAGCAGGATGAAATCTCAAGCTGTCCTTCTCCATCCTTCCAGGGACATGAGTCATCCCTTTGTCCAGTGTATCCATGTTATACATGCCACCTGCACGTTATCACTTAGTAGCCACCTTGGTTATCAGTTAGACACAGCATCACAGTGCTTGTGTTCAAGTAATCCTTATTCTATTTAATAATGGCCCCAAAGTGCAAGAGTAGTAATGTTGGCATATTGTTGTAATTGTTCTATTCTATTATTGGTTGTTATAAATCTGTTACTGTGCCTAATTTATGAATTAAACTTTATCATAGGCATATATGTATAAGAAAAACATGGTATATATAGGGTTTGGTACTATCCATGGTTTCAGGCATCCACAGGTGTCTTGGAACATATCTCCTATGGATAAAAGAGGACTACTGTGTATATATATATATATATATATATATATACATATATATGTGTGTGTATATCTATATACATATATATGTGTGTATATCTATATACATATATATGTGTGTGTATATATATATGTATATATATATGTGTGTGTGTGTGTCAGAAACCCAGCCTTTTGTCCTAGTCACATGTTTGACTGTAATTTGTTCTCTGATAATTTCATCAAAGAGGTCTTAAAAACAACATTCACAGATTTTTGTTGCATATTTAAAACTTTGTGGCCTGTTTATTTAAATGCCAGTTTTGTGGGATATAAAATCTGAGGGTTATACTTATTTATGTAAGCATGTTGTAGCTTGTCTTCACCTGGACCTCTATTTAATGGTAATTATATTTTGGAACAATGCATGATAGGCCAACTGGTCTGCTTCCAATGGAGTTGGAGGGGTGAGACTTTATAAACTTTGTTGAAGAAAATCCCTGAGAAAAGAGATTGCCAGTGATACTTGTTTTGTTCTTTATATATTCATATGTTTTTAACTTTTAATGAATATATATTATTTTAGTAATTAAAAAAACAGAAGAACTTTAATTTTGTTTGAGCAATAAAGCTCTCTTTTAACCAGATATAATAATACAATTCTGGTTAATATTGAGATTAGCAAAAAGCCAGAAGATGAATGGGACTTGGGTTCTAAAGTTTCACACAAGTCAGTGTATAATTGAAAGTATAATCACAATACTGAGCTAAAGATAATATACTCAACCGAGATATTGCTGATTTTAAACATAGTAGCTCAGCAGCAGTTTTGAAAGAAAGAGGAGTAGGAGAGACTGAAAGAAAAAAAAAGAGATTAAAAGACATTTAAAAGTAACTGAAAGAAAATATAGGAGTTATATAGGGAAAAGGAGTCCTGAAGCATATTTTGTATTTGACTGCTGAGGATCCTGAGCTATTTGGAAACAATATTCAATGAGACAAGATTGCATATGAGGTTAACACCTATTTCTTCTACACTAACCTGCCTTATCCCTGCCCATTATTTAAGTCAGAGTTTCTCAACCTGATGGAGTTCTTTATTCTTGGCACTATTGACATTTTGGGCCAGATAATCCATGTGGGAGTCAGGGGCTGGGGGCTGTCCTGTGCATTGTAAGATGTCTAAACAGTACAAGATGCCAATATATGTCCTCAGTTGTGACCACCAAAAATGTCTCTGGGCACTTCCAAATGTCCTCCAAGGGGTGAAATTGCTCTCAGTCCTTATTCCAATTATGGCCTCCATGAATCAGGCTCAGTTATTACTTACTAGAGTTTGCCAAAAGTTCCCCTTTTCTTCATTGATATTAGTTTCTAATTTCAGATAATATTCTTAAGTAAGCAATTAGTTATCACACTATTTTTATGCCTTTTTCCTTTGTATTACTAGCTTCAGTATTTTCAGTGAATATCTTTCTATATAGTACAGTGTGCTGGTGTTTGAAGAGCATATCAAATCAGTGGTCCCTTTCCCAAGAGCATCAGCCCTAGTTTGATGAAAGATAAGTGACAAAATGAATAGAAGTCTGGCTAGACCAAATATAGAGAAATGACAGTAAGATGATAAAAGATTTAGAAACGTAACTCATCATTTTATCATATTATATATATATATCTTTTGTACTCTATATTTTTTCATGCTGTGTTACAAAATGTTAGAGAAGTCTACTGCTTTATTCACTTCCAGGTGATGAGAAGTCAAGTCAAAAATCAGGACTTATAACGTCAATCTGTGCCTTTGGGTTCCTAGAAGAGAAGCAACATAGCATTGAAGATCGAAGAAGGTCACCATAAGGAAAAATTCCCAAAGCAAAAAACAAGCTTTGTGTACCACCATTCCATCCTGTGCATCTGAGATACACTGGGTCTGGCACAAATTACCTCCTCAATTAATAAATAATATATCTGTAAATAAATAGTAACTCTAGGAATAGTTATACCATTTGTTTCTATATATTCATTCCCAATGTTGACAAGGATCTAATTCACTTAAAATTTAGTCCATATTACATTATCAAATTTAAAAAAGAAGACTAAAGATTAATATACCCAATGCATTCTTGCCCTTCAATGAAAAGATTCCCTAGTTTTGAAATTAAAAACTAATAAATTTAAGTAAAAACATAACCTATAAAATCAAATGTTCTAATCTACCTCTTACATTCTGAAGCTTGGAGAGTGAGTTTTTAGTGCTTGAGAATAGGAAATCAGTCCCTAATAATTCTCTAAGGGATCATGGGAACCAATACGTCTAGGTCTGTCAATGGGAAAGAACTCTGAATTAAGCACTAACAAAAACAGCACTCTACCAATTTAAGTTTAACATGAGAGGCAGAATTAGCAATTATGGAAAACATACAAAAGTGGCAAAGGAGATGATAGTTTAGAAAAAAATTACACGGCTAGATGTCTACCAATCCCAGTCAACCTAGAAGCTTTCTCCCCAAGGCTGCTTTCACTCTGAAGGATGTAAGTAGGGACTGGCTACAAAAATTGCTAGTTGCCTGGAGGCTTCATCTGGAATGACATGAATCTCATGTATCAGCCAAATTATACTCTGCTTTGAATTCATAAAAATTGTTTTCATAATGTGATAAAATTTTGAGTTCTGTCTCCAAACTGTTGAATAGACACCACCTGAAATATAAACTGAAATACCTTTATAAGGTATTTCAGTTTATAAGTTGATGGAAAATCCTCATTTTCCATCAACTCTGGAAATAAGAGGAGATAAAGGACAAATAATCTGTTTTTCCAGACCCAGCAAGATGTTGACCAGATACCATTCCACTGAGCCAACACTGAAACATGACAACAATATTTATTTGCTAACTTGAAGCTAGCTGCATCCATATGCTTGCCATTTACTTCATATTTGTAATAGACACGTCTCATGTCTTATTTATTTTTCTCAACATGTTCCCGTCAAAGCCAGAGCCTCTGCAGAGTACTCAATAAACAATTAGTTAAAATGTACTTTAGCAGATTATTATATCTCAAATTCTAATAATGATCTGTTGGGAATTTCAGGGTAGGTGTGAGTAAATTTATTTTCATCTTAATGCCTCTATTTTTTCAATATAAAGAGGAATGAATAGAGAAAAATTATAGTAAAATTTTAATAACACAAATGAAAGGAGGAAGTCAATGCAGCATTATTACTGCAAATACTTCCTGCTTTAGGACAATGATCCTCAGGGGAACTATAAAATGTATAATTTATCTTTCACTTCTCTTTACACAAAATATATTTGGTGACCAACTTCCTCATGGCTGCCTTTACTTCCTTGTTTCTCAATGTGTAAATAATGGGATTACGTAAAGGGAATATTAAAGTATTGAACACAGACACCACTTTATCTAGGGAAAACGAGTCAAATGGGCGAGCATAAATGTAGATGGATGGCCCAAACATTAGCACCACAATGGTAATGTGGGAATAGCAGGTGGACATGGCCCTGTTGGTATTCTCACCTGAGCCTGAAAGTTTCTTGAACAAGGCCAGAAGGAAGGCATAGGACATTAACAGAGCAATCAAACACACCACAGAGATCAGACCACTACTACAGATCATCACTAACTCCTCTGGGAAGGTGTTGGCACAGGCAATCCGGACAACCTGTGTGATGTCACAGAAGTAACTGTCTAACTCATTGGGCCCACAGAAAGGAAGTCGAACAATGAGAGCCACCTGTATGATAGAATGAATGAAGCCCCCCCTCCAGGAGAGAGCCACCAGGATACAGCAGAGACGTTGATTCATGATGGTAGCATAGTGGAGGGGTCGGCAGATAGCAGTGTAGAGGTCAAAGGCCATCACTGTGAGCAAGAACATCTCCGAAGCCCCAGCAAAGTGTAAGAAGAAGAGCTGTGCAATGCATCCATCAAAAGAAATTATCTTCCTCTCCACAAAGAAGTCTATGAGCATTTCAGGGGCTGTAATGGAAGAGTACCAAATATCAAGGAAGGCCAGATTAGCCAACAGGAAATACATAGGAGAGGTCAGATGAGGGTCTAGACTGATGGTGCAAATGATAAGGATATTTCCTGGTAGGATGAACAAATAGAAGGATAGAAATATAACAAATAGGACTAGTTGGACCTCTGGAGTCTGGGATAGGCCAGTGAGAACAAATTCTGTCACCTTGGTGTAATTTGCAGTTTCCATTTCTTCAATTTACTCTTTTCATAATATAGCTATGAAAATTAAGAAACTATAATTAGTAGACATAGCATTTACCTAGAGTTATATCACTGCTTTCAAAATTGTCATACGTTCCCTGTCACTAACAGATTACACGAGGATACATTTGGTTGCCCATTTTATATCTGATAAACCAAGAGGGAGAGAGTATGTGATGAAGTTACAAATTGGAAACATTAAAACTATATGAAGTGTGGCATATATTTGAAACTCAAATCTCAGCTTGTTAATGTTAAAAACTTACTTTTTCTGAAATTTGGCAATGCACTACTTCTTCCCCCAAACATCTACATTAGTAAGCAATATGTGAAGCTACTTCTGAGTGTAGCCAAATTTTAGACTGGCAATCAGAGATGTGGCCTCTTTTTTCTATATCTTTTTTTTTGTTGGGAAATCTTGCCAACTTGGAAACTTAGGCTTGCATTCTAATAGCACACACACAGATCTAGCAGTACTTTAGTTGTGATACAGAAAAGAGATCCCAAGGCTTCATAAGTAGTGAAGGGACATATTTTTCCGTAACTGTAACCAAAACCTGTACAGCTTAATCCTTGGTAACAGGTAACCAGCCACAACATACAGCTATGCAAGGCCCTATATAAAAAATTCTTCTAGCTGTGACCAGATTCATCAATACCTGATACTACATTGAGTATAAAATTTGCTCACCACAGCAGGAACGTAAGTAGGTGTACTGATCTGAGAAATGAGTATGCTTGCTACCCAATTTGATTCTGAGCTGATCTGCTCTGCTGTTTCAAGGTGACAATGGGAATAATATTATTTTTAAAATTTTGCTTACTGCCCTGTATTGAATCTGACACCACTAATAGCACAAAACTTGTCAAATAAAAATGAAATAACAGTTCACATTACCAAATATGCTTTTCTTTAAGTAAGGTTAAAAACTGCCACACCAAAGTAAGTTTTGTTGTAACCAACAGCAAATACAAGAGAGTTGTTTCTTTTCTGTTGATGTGATATTTTATGATATTGCCTCTCCTATTACTTAAAAAAATTAAATATGAAAAGGAATTTTTAAAAAGTTAAGGTTCTGTAAAACCAAATAGACGTGGCTGTGTCCAAACACTTATGGGCACTATGTATACTACTGAGAAAAGAAATTAAATGCGCCATTTTTGGAACCTACTGACTCAATTTACACATAATTTTAACAAACATAGATAAATGACTTTCAATATCTTATAGAAGCATTGTATTTTGAAAAAGGGATGGCTTACTACAAGCAGACACACACACATAAAACCAGTGTTTTCCAGGAATCTGGTAGCAAGCGGAAGAAAGGTAAAAATACTCAGAAATTGAATAGTGTGGGACTATTTAGAAAAGGGATCAATTTCCCCTTGTCCATAAATTGCCCAGTGTGGACCTCAGTGAGTTAATGAAGCATATTTAATAAGATTGAAAAATTTAAAATTTGGTTTAGGAAGATTTTAATCAAAAGAAAGATAATAAGGTTATCCAGAATGAAATATTTCCTAACATTCCAAGAAACAATGATCTTATTGTACTTACCTGGAGGAGGCAGCTCATAGCCCTCATAACTAATAACACAACATTGTGTTATTAGTTATGAGGGCTATGAGCTAGTTATATACTAACTCATTTACATTCACTGATAAGTCAACTATGAGGTTCCAACAATCAAATAAATTTCTAACAAAAGCATCTGAAATATTATGATTACTCAGCTCATTTACATATTTTGCTATAATGCTATGTAGTTTTTGACCAGATGGAAGCGATTATTTGTTCCTAAGTAAATAATTGTCCCTTTATTATTGAAAGGAGATGAATATTTTAAAGCAGTAAATACCATTACAAGATCATATGCTTTTTTATTATTATGGGGACATGATGCAATGATTCTGAGTGTCATCACACAAATCACCCCTTCTTCCTCTGCTCTACTCCATACCCATTCCACCAAAACAGAAGTAGAAAATGGCACTAATCTAGAAAGAATTTATGTGAATGAGTGTTGATGTCTTGAAAAGACAGACATACATCAGGTATTATGGAATAGAAAGGGTGATTTTACCAGAAAAAAGTGTCAAAGAGATTTTCTTTTGTACCTCAGTGTTCAACATATGACATAAAATTAGAAACTAATGATGTATATACTTTGCATTAAGAACCAAAATCAACCACATTTATTCCTTAGGACAAAAATACAAAGGATTCATCCCTCCACACTCCTTGATGAGTGTCTCTGTCCTCCACCCTTCACAAGTGTCAAGTGGAAAAGAAATATTTTGCTGGAGCATCTCAATCCAATAGTCAGGCAGCCAATCAAACCCCCTACTCCCAAAGCTAGTAATGCTCAGCCACTACTCATCACACACACACACACACACACACACACACACACACACACACACCACTACACCATGTCACTTCAAGGAAGAACAAGCACCTAGTTTCCCTACATTAACATAACCATTACCTAAAATACCATAAATGACGCAACAATTCTTATTCTGTCCAGCACTTGTCATTTAACACATGTCAAAACAAAGCTATCTACATGTGATATTAAAAAGTCTATTCCTAAATATATAGCTTCTGTGTCACTTCTGTAAACTATTCATTTGTTTATCCCACAAACATTTAGAGAGTATCTACTATATGCTACCTGCTGAGACACAACAATGAACAAGGAACACTCAATATCTGCCTCATCAAACTTCCATTCTGAAAATATAGACAGACAATAAATAAGTAAACAAATAAAAATAAAATAAAATATAAATAAGTAAAATAAAATAATTGCTACTAGTGCTAAAAGACAAGCAGGAAATAAAAAGGCAATGGTAGAGTAAATAATGATGGGAGTGGTATGTGTGTGATGGAGTATTTTAGAAAAGGTTCTGAGTTGGTGACGTTTTTCTAACTTTGAAAGTTTGAAGAAAAGCATTTTAGGAATAGAGAATAGTAAATGAAAAGGCCTTGTGTCATGAAAGACTTTCTAAGAACTGTAGAAGACCCACAACTGGTAGAAGCATAAGAACAAAATAAAGAGTTAGTCAAAGACCAAGTAATGTAGCCCACAATAATAAAATTGGATTTCCAATTTTCTTTCAATATGTTTTACAATAAAACTCGGGAGAATAGCTTAATACAATTTGCAATTTAGAAATATCACCCTGGCTGCTATGTGAATAAATCAGAGTAAGACAACATTACAAGAATATATATATATATATATATATATATATATATATATATATATATATATATGGCTTAAACTAACAATACAGCAATAACTATTTGAAGAGAATAATAATTTGTTTAGAAAATATTTAGGAGATGCAACTCCAGGGTTTATCAATGGATCATATGTTGCTATTGTCATAGTACCAAAGGCAGCTGGAATTTGAACTCCACAATGGCAATTTAAAAATATTGTTTTCCTATCTTCTGTGTCTAAAATGAGGTTCATCCAGCCCATACCACGTCCTTAATAAAATTGGGCTAAATAAACTATACATACTTGGGTATGCACTGTAACACCCCAAGAAAAGCTGGGAATTGTACCAAAAAAACCCAAAGCAAGCAATTATGTTTATGGGAAATTCTTGGGGGAGATAAGCCACTCATGAAGATTGACTTAGGGCATTTTTTTCTAAGGTTGCCATTGAGGAGGGGATGACTATTCCAAATCAGTCCTTACTCTTAGAGCAGTGGTTGGATAAGTTCCTTAAGAAGATTTACTTCATCTTACATCCACCCACCTACTCCTCCTAAGCTTCTGCTCCTCTTTTAACAACATCTAGAAAATTCCCATTCTTAATCTACAGGGATGTAGTACCTAGAGGATGACTATGGAAATACCTAGGAGTACAGGTGCATTCCCTGTCGGTGAGTGAACTGTGAAATCTTCTCAAGAGAAGCAATGCTTTGGGAGAAAACAAGAATCTGCGTGATGTTGAGGTCGTGAGATCTTCCTCTATGACAGTTTCTTCATAGCAAAAGGAGGGATTTTAACTAGAATTTTAAGAAATGTTCTACCTCTAAAATCCTATGATTCCGTTAAAGTAAAAGTAGGTTGAGAGTAAAATTCTCAGAAAGGTAAATTAAGAATGATTTGGGTAGCAATAGGGAGAAACAGTGATATCATCACCATTGTGGATATATACAACACTTAGAAAGAATGCAAATTAATTTTCCTATTTTTAGGATATGGAGCTCACTTATTCTGTGGGATGGTGAGGAAGGAGTATACAGAAGCATCTTCACCATATAGATGGGTATAGGTAGCCAAGGGACCTCGAGTGTCATAAATAAACCAGTAGCAGAAAATATCAAGATGTAGTTATTACATTGATTTTCTGTATGCATTGTTGCCCACAGTAAACTAGGCAAGAAGAAACCATTAGGATAAGAGAAGGGCTGATCTCAATGAGACTATTTTGAAGATCATTTGCTGCTTATTTCTCTTTTAATATACTTTAATATATTATTATATTTAATAATACACTTTAATGTTATTAAAGTATATTAAAATATATAGTATATACATTAACATTATTAAAGTATATTAAAATACTTATTTTATATACAACTATTAATATATTCTTTTAATTTACTTGAATATATTAAAGTATATTAAAATATTTTATATATAATATAAATTATATATAAATATGTATATATCATATATTTACATATATTACATATTTATATATTATATATATTTGCAGCTTATTTCTCTTTTAATATACTTAGATATGGGGTGTCAGTGCTATCAACTGAAGAATGATGGGGTTCATAAATTTGGAAAGGAGGACCTTTATTTCTCATAGAGTTGTAGCCTGAAGGGTGGCTATTATGACAGGCTGGGAAATATAGCCTCTGGCCAGGAGCCAGAAACAAACATTTCGAGACAGTGTCAAAAGGAATATGTACTGAGTGAGGTGGCCAAATACATATGCTCAATAAGCTATAGGAGGAATCTTGAATATTTATGAAAGGACAACCATGCACATGCACAATTGTGCTTCATGCCCCTTCATGAGTAGCATATAGTTGGTCTCTTATCAGGAAGGAATGCTGGTTAATTGCCATGTTAAAACCACAAAAAAAGAGGGACTGCTTCAGTGATTTGTTGATATCAGCAGTGGAGTCTTTCAAAAGAGCTGGTTTCTATTTAGCACTTAGGTAGGAAAGTCTAATGGTAGTTAAGTGAGGGCGGGGATGTAAGAAGGCACCTCTGACCGCCCATCTTGTCATGGATGAAAACTCAGCTTTTAAGGTTACTCTGGGGTGCCCTTGGCCAAGAGAGGGTCCATTCAGTAGCTTGGGGAGCTAAGGGTTTCATTTTTATTTTATTTCTCAGTGCCTTCATTCTAACCACAGCTAAGCACTTACTAGCTGTGTAATCCTGGGCAACTCACTTACCTCTGCCTCAGTGTGCCTCATTAGTGCAATGGAAATAATAACAGTACCTACTTCACAGGTATTGTAGTGATTAATGCATATAATGCTCCCCACATTTTTCCCAGACCCACAGTCCTGTTACATTGTTGATGTATCACTATTTTTAAATCCTTCAGCTATTCTCAGAAGCTTGTTTTCTAAAATGCCTGAAATTTTGTATGAATTTTGTATATATAAGTTCCATAAAAATGTCATATTTTTATGGCTCCCATAATAGTACTGTTTACACCTCCAGTACAAATTTTAACTCATTACATTATAATTTTTCAGTTTGTATTTTGCAAAATATAACAGGAACTCTGAGCTCCTTGAGGTCATGGAGTATGTCTCATTTATATATCTACTGCCTAAAGTAGTTCCTAGCATGTTATGGTCTTCAATATGTGTTTGTTAAATGGATGGATGGATGGGATGATTACATAGATTTTTTATTGAATAAATAGATCAGTAGACTTTGACAAAAATTAAACACCACAACATCTAATTGTTTTTATTAATTCATTTCTTCTTTCCCTACTCTGCTACATAATTCCTAATTTTGCTTTTTGGAATCCTTTTTGTTAAAATACATATTTCACCCACATTTATTTCAAGTAAGAGTCTCTTTGCTTTTAAGTTTCTTTTTTGCTTTTCTATTTATTTTCAAAGTTTTTGCTACTACTAACACTAATCCCTTTGAAATGAAATATTTCAAGCCTCACCTTTCCCTTCCTCTTCACAGAGATCATCCTGAAGAACTATAAGAAGTAACTACCATGCCTATTCCAAAATTGACCACATAGTTGGAAGTAAAGCTCTCCTCAGCAAATGTAAAAGAACAGAAATTATAACAAACTATCTCTCAGACCACAGTGCAATCAAACTAGAACTCAGGATTAAGAATCTCACTCAAAGCCGCTCAACTACATGGAAACTGAACAACCTGCTCCTGAATGACTATTGGGTACATAACGAAATGAAGGCAGAAATAAAGATGTTCTTTGAAACCAACGAGAACAAAGACACAACATACCAGAATCTCTGGGACGCATTCAAAGCAGTGTGTAGAGGGAAATTTATAGCACTAAATGCCCACAAGAGAAAGCAGGAAAGATCCAAAATTGACACCCTAACATCACAATTAAAAGAACTAGAAAAGCAAGAGCAAACACATTCAAAAGCTAGCAGAAGGCAAGAAATAACTAAAATCAGAGCAGAACTGAAGGAAATAGAGACACAAAAAACCCTTCAAAAAATCAACGAATCCAGGAGCTGGTTTTTTGAAAGGATCAACAAAATTGATAGACTGCTAGCAAGACTAATAAAGAAAAAAAGAGAGAAGAATCAAATAGACACAATAAAAAATGATAAAGGGGATATCACCACTGATCCCACAGACATACAAACTACCATCAGAGAATACTACAAACACCTCTACGCAAATAAACTAGAAAATCTAGAAGAAATGGATAAATTCCTCGACACATACACTCTCCCAAGACTAAACCAGGAAGAAGTTGAATCTCTGAATAGACCAACAACAGGAGCTGAAATTGTGGCAATAATCAATAGCTTACCAACCAAAAGGAGTCCAGGACCAGATGGATTCACAGCCGAATTCTACCAGAGGTACAAGGAAGAACTGGTACCATTCCTTCTGAAACTATTCCAATCAATAGAAAAAGAGGGAATCCTCCCTAACTCATTTTATGAGGCCAGCATCATTCTGATACCAAAGCTGGGCAGAGACACAACCAAAAAAGAGAATTTTAGACCAATATCCTTGATGAACATTGAGGCAAAAATCCTCAATAAAATACTGGCAAACCGAATCCAGCAGCACATCAAAAAGCTTATCCACCATGATCAAGGGGGCTTCATCCCTGGGATGCAAGGCTGGTTCAGTATACGCAAATCAATAAATGTAATCCAGCATATAAACAGAACCAAAGACAAAAACCACATGATTATCTCAATAGATGCAGAAAAAGCCTTTGACAAAATTCAACAACCCTTCATGCTAAAAACTCTCAAGAAATTAGGTATTGATGGGACGTATTTCAAAATAATAAGAGCTATCTATGACAAACCCACAGCCAATATCATACTGAATGGGCAAAAACTGGAAGCATTCCCTTTGAAAACTGGCACAAGACAGGGATGCCCTCTCTCACCACTCCTATTCAACATAGTGTTGGAAGTTCTGGCCAGGGCAATTAGGCAAGAGAAGGAAATAAAGGGTATCCAATTAGGAAAAGAGGAAGTCAAATTGTCCCTGTTTGCAGACGACATGATTGTATATCTAGAAAACCCCATTGTCTCAGCCCAAAATCTCCTTAAGCTGATAAGCAACTTCAGCAAAGTCTCAGGATACAAAATCAATGTACAAAAATCACAAGCATTCTTATACACCAACAACAGACAAACAGAGAGCCAAACCATGAGTGAACTCCCATTCACAATTGCTTCA
Organism: Homo sapiens; assembly: GCF_000001405.40. Taxonomy (NCBI): domain Eukaryota; kingdom Metazoa; phylum Chordata; class Mammalia; order Primates; family Hominidae; genus Homo; species Homo sapiens. The sequence continues at coordinate 22,072,679 of NC_000015.10, read as the reverse complement.
AAGAGAATAAAATACCTAGGAATCCAACTTACAAGGGATGTGAAGGACCTCTTCAAGGAGAACTACAAACCACTGCTCAAGGAAATAAAAGAGGATACAAACAAATGGAAGAACATTTCATGCTCATGGGTAGGAAGAATCAATATTGTGAAAATGGCCATACTGCCCAAGGTAATTTACAGATTCAATGCCATCCCCATCAAGCTACCAATGACTTTCTTCACAGAATTGGAAAAAACTACTTTAAAGTTCATATGGAACCAAAAAAGAGCCCGCATTGCCAAGTCAATCCTAAGCCAAAAGAACAAAGCTGGAGGCATCACACTACCTGACTTCAAACTATGCTACAAGGCTACAGTAACCAAAACAGCATGGTATTGGTACCAAAACAGAGATATAGATCAATGGAACAGAACAGAGCCCTCAGAAATAATGCCGCGTACCTACAACTATCTGATCTTTGACAAACCTGAGAAAAACAAGCAATGGGGAAAGGATTCCCTATTTAATAAATGGTGCTGGGAAAACTGGCTAGCCATATGTAGGAAGCTGAAACTGGATCCCTTCCTTACACCTTATACAAAAATCAATTCAAGATGGATTAAAGATTTAAACGTTAGACCTAAAACCATAAAAACCCTAGAAGAAAACCTAGGCATGACCATTCAGGACATAGGCATGGGCAAGGACTTCATGTCCAAAACACCAAAAGCAATGGCAACAAAAGCCAAAATTGACAAATGGGATCTAATTAAACTAAAGAGCTTCTGCACAGCAAAAGAAACTACCATCAGAGTGAACAGGCAACCTACAAAATGGGAGAAAATTTTCGCAACCTACTCATCTGACAAAGGGCTAATATCCAGAATCTACAATGAACTCAAACAAATTTACAAGAAAAAAACAAACAACCCCATCAAAAAGTGGGCGAAGGACATGAACAGACACTTCTCAAAAGAAGACATTTATGCAGCCAAAAAACACATGAAAAAATGCTCATCATCACTGGCCATCAGAGAAATGCAAATCAAAACCACAATGAGATACCATCTCACACCAGTTAGAATGGCAATCATTAAAAAGTCAGGAAACAACAGGTGCTGGAGAGGATGTGGAGAAATAGGAACACTTTTACACTGTTGGTGGGACTGTAAACTAGTTCATCCATTGTGGAAGTCAGTGTGGCGATTCCTCAGGGATCTAGAACTAGAAATACCATTTGACCCAGCCATCCCATTACTGGGTATATACCCAAATGACTATAAATCATGCTGCTATAAAGACACATGCACACGTATGTTTATTGCGGCATTATTCACAATAGCAAAGACTTGGAACCAACCCAAATGTCCAACAATGATAGACTGGATTAAGAAAATGTGGTACATATACACCATGGAATACTATGCAGCCACAAAAAATGATGAGTTCATGTCCTTTGTAGGGACATGGATGAAACTGGAAATCATCATTCTCAGTAAACTATTGCAAGAACAAAAAAGCAAACACCGCATATTCTCACTCATAGGTGGGAATTGAACAATGAGATCACATGGACACAGGAAGGGGAATATCACACTCTGGGGACTGTGGTGGGGTGGGGGGAGGGGGGAGGGATAGCACTGGGAGATATACCTAATGCTAGATGACGAGTTAGTGGGTGCAGGGCACCAGCATGGCACATGTATACATATGTAACTAACCTGCACAATGTGCACATGTACCCTAAAACTTAAAGTATAAAAAAATAAAATAAAATAAAAATAAAAATAAAAATAAAAAGAAGTAACTAAAGATCTTGGGGTTTTCCTGTCTTTCTTCCAGGAGTAAAAGGATTCAAAATTTTGGACGTTTATTTTAATAATCTGTCACGCTCTGAAGACCCATAAATCAAAACAGCCTTCTCTGAGCTTGCTTAGAAATGATTCATCCTATGAGTATAAAATGATGAAGCTGTCTCTTCAATGCCCTGTTCAACCCTGACTTTAAAATGCTTTAATTATTGAGACCAAGGCTGAAAAGAAACAATTTGTCCACCCACTCCACAGCTAAAACCTACTCTATACTATCATCACAGTTCCCTAAGACATTTCCTTACATGCTGCTTTCTGTTTCTTACCACTGATCTCTGAGCATTTTACATAGTTATTCCCATCATTATTATCTGTCCTACTGTCTCAAAAATAGGATGGTTTATGTAAATGTTATAACAACATTCCACCTACCAATTACTGTGACAGTCTTGGTGCCTTCAGGAACTATGGGGAGGAGGTAGAAGAAGCCTCTTCCACCACCCGCAGTGGAGGACTTTATCCTGGGTACATGTTGGTATGCATCAGTTTCTGCCCTGATGTAACAGTAAACTAACTAGCAGCATGAGCTGTAACTACAAAAATCAATCCTCTGGAGGCCAGGAGAAGCCAGGTAGGAACATAAGCCCTGAGGGAATAATTTAAAAGTTGATTTGCACTTCATCCAAAGAGCACAGAAACACAACTTTTGAGTTTCACAGAAGAAGTAAGAAAAATGGCGAATTTCCCAGGATTAGGGGTGGAAAATGCTACGATGTACAATATGTGCTCTCTAGAGTATGACGTGCATTTTCAATTCTATTGTCCCAGAGGACACAATAAGTTGTGCTGGAACAACTGGTTAACCAGATTTTTTAAAAGAATTATATTTTATAACTTATACTTAACATAAATTGCAAAGGAGTAATTTTTTTAATTACTAGAAACATAGAGAGACTATTTAAATTATTTTGGAATAAATAAAAACTTTTAAGTATATCCTGCCCCTATGAAGGAAAAACAATAAGAAAAGAGTTATAGCATATTTGATAATGAAATTTAAAATTTATCAATGGCAAACACAAATATAGGGGAAAATGTTAGAAATTAAAACAATTTAAAATTACTAGAAAATAAAGACAAATTTAACAGGCAAATAATGAACAGAAAAAAATAAATTTAAATAACTCCATTATATAAGAAGCACTTAAAAATCAGTCATACTATGGCAAAAATAATAATGATAATAATGCAATTTCAAAGTGGGTGAAAAACTTGAAGACATTTCTCAGAGGAAATACACAAATGGCCAACAGGTATAAGCAAATATGTTCAGCATCACTAGTTGTTAAGGAAATGCATATCCAAACACCAATGAGATATTGCCTCATGCCTATTAGCATGGCTATTATCAAAAAACAAAAGAAGTGTTGGCTAGAATTTAGGGAATTGAAACTCCTATACACTTTTGGTGGAAATAGAAAATGGTGCAGTCACTATGAAAAATAATGTGTCAGTTCCTCAAAACATTAAAAACAAAATTATTATATGATTCAGCAATCCCACTTTTAGGAATATGTCCAAAAGAATTGAAATCAGAACCTCAAAGAGATACCTTCACACCCATGTTTACTACAGCATTATTCACAAAAGCCAAGATATGGAAACAGCCTAAAAGTCCATAGACAGATGAACAAAGAAAATGTGTTAGACATCAGCTAGAATGGCAGAGTAGGTGATCTCAGTCTTTATTCCTCCTAAAGGAACAACAACTGGGCAAATATCCACAAATGAAAATATCTAGCAGAGATCAGGAATCTACTTCAGAAGTTAAAACAACAGAGCAGACAGAAAAACTTCAAGAAAAAACACAAAAAAATGGTAGAAAAAACAGTTTCATTTTGCCTGCGTCATCTTCCTCAGGCTGGCAGTGCTCAGTATGGAGAGGTCACTGCTCAGCTTGCAAGTTCCCCTTGCAGAGAAAAGGAGAGTGGAGTGAACCATCTTACCCAGCCTACTGGAGCACTGCCCAAACAACCAGCTTAAGTTTCACCCATCCCAGATTGCTAGGGAGACCAACATAGGAGAGAAATCTGTAAACTGCTGGTAAGAAAGAGAAATGATGAGGTCTATCAGTATCAGTCCTGTGGTAGGAATCAATGCAGTCCCCAGTAGCCTGATCTGAGCGGAATTCTGGTAGCCTTCTATACCAAGGACCTCAACAGCCCTCATGGATGTGACACAGGATTCTTTGAGGGCCACTTTGCCAAGTGGAAATCTCGATGGCCAGCAGAGCCTCTGCTGAGGCTTCACTCAGGCCCTCTGAGCTCGTCCTGCTCATTTGGCCTGGCAGGCTGTGCTCCACTCATGCTCACTCACCCAGACGCCATGACACCCACCGTAGCTCAGTGCTCAGCCCACGGTTGGTTTGGGCATGCTATGACTGACTTCTGCCTTGAGCGCTGGCATCTGGATAAGGGGGATGCAGCAGTGCCCAAAAACTCAGAGATGCCAGCAACTGTGGAGCCCGAAGAGGTGTTACAGCTTTTGCTCTGGGAGTCAAGGTCTGAGCCCCCAGGAAGTGTTACAGCTCTTGTTCGTTCTCACTGCTGGCAGTTTCAGCAAATGGGGATGTGTCACAGCTCATTCAGTCCTGCTGCCCACAGCTCAGCAATTGGGGACTTGTGGCACCCAGCATTTTTTTTTCACTTCTGTAGCTTGGTGAACAGGAGGTGTATCTTACAGCTCTTTTCGCACCCACTGTTCAGTGGATCCTGGATTCTTGTCCTGCAACCAACAGGAATGAAGCATGCAGACACCGCAGAGTGAGCAAGGCTGATGAGATTTTTATTGAGCAGCAGAAAAGCTCTTGACAACAAGAGAGTAGCCAAAGTGGGCAGCCCTCTGTGTAAGAGTGGGGCTGAAAGCAGAGAGCCATCTGTGAGGCTGAGTCTGGGGTTTTTATGGGCTCAGAATGGAGGAATCTGTGCTGATTGGTTCATGGGCAGGCCTGGAAAAAGCACCATTTAATTGACTAAAAGGCACTGAGGAAGTTCTCAGTTGGGTCGTGGACTCCACCTGGAACTGGCGGCTTGGTTTTCAGGCCTCAGGTTGTCTTTGGCTTGAAGGTTGGGATTCACCAGGGACTTATCCCTGTCTGCCTAGGAATCTGTCTGTCTCCTGTCATTATCAGCTGCACATACCACACTGCTTTTACTACCAAGGAACCCACAATTATCATTGCACAAACTATAGTACTTAACTCCACAGAGGACTCCAGCAGGTTTAGTCACTGACAAAATCAACACCCAAAGATCACAAAGAAGCAGGAAAACATGACACCACCAAAGGAACAAAATTAATTTCTAGTAACCAACCCCAAAGAATTGGAGATCTATAAATTGCCTGGAAAAAATCAAAATAATTGCCTAAGGAATCTTGGGGAACTACAAGAGAACACAAATAAATAGTTTAATGAAATCAGGAAGACAATCCAAGAACAAAATGAGAAGCTCAATAAAGAGACAGAAAATATTTTAAAAAGAACCAAACAGAAATGTTGGAGCTGAAAAATACAACAGCTAAACTAAAAAAATGTAATAGAGGCTTGAACATCAGACTAAGTGAAGCAGAATAAAAAAATAAGTGAACTCAAAGACCGAGCATTTTAAATCATCCAGTAAGTGGAGATAAAAGAAAAAAAAGAATAAAACCTACAGAAGCCATGGAATACTATCAAGAGAGCTAACATTAGAATTATAGTAGGTTCAGAAGAAAAATAGAGAGAGCATTAGATAGAAAGCTTATTTAAGGAAATAATCATAGGAAACTTAGCAAATGTCAGGAAAGAAATGAGCATCCAGATGCATGAAGCCTAAAGTTCTCCAGTCAATTCAACCAAAAAAAGAATCCACAAACATACATTATCGTCAACCTGGCAAAAATCAAAAACAAAGAGAGAAGCTTGTAAGCAGCAAGAGAAAAGAATCATGTCATATAAAAAAGGACCCAAATAAAGCTATCAGTGGATTTCTCAGCAGGAACCTTGAGGATCAGGAGAGAATGAAATAATATATTCAAAGCAATGGAAGAAAAATAAAACTGCCAACCAGCAATATTTTGCCAGCAAAGCTGTCCTTCAGAAATGAAGAAGATAAAGACTTTTTTAGAAAAAAAAAAGAAAAGTTGAGTGAGTCTTCACTATTGCTTGCCTTACAAGAAATGCTAAAGGGGGATTTTTAAGATTAAATAAAAGGCAGCTAATTAGTAACATTAAAACATATAAAAATATAAAACTAACTGGTAAAGTATATATATGGTTAAATTTAGAATATTCAAGCACCATAATGGTGGTGGTGTAAATCACAACATCATTATAAAGTTATAAGATGAATGTATGAAAAATGACTATAGCTATAATAAATTCTTAAGACATATAAAAAATGTAAACTGTAACATCAAAAGCACAATGTAAGAGAAGGGAAGTAAAAGTACAGAGCTTCTTTAGCAATCAAAGTGAAGATGTTATCGTCTTTAAGTGAATTGGTAAAACAATAAGAATATTTATGTAAGCCTCATGGCAACCACAAATTAAAAACCTATAGTAAATACACAAAAGATAAACAGAAAAGAATCAAAGCATACCACCGAGGAAAATGATCAAATCACAAAGGAAAACAACAAAGGAGTAATAAAGGAATAAAGGACCTACAAAGCAACCAGAAAACAATAAATTGACAATAATAAATCTTTACTTACCAACTATAAATAAGCAAATTTTGTCAATCAAAAGACAAAAAGTGGCTGAATTGATTTATAAAAATAAGATCCAACTAAATGCTGCCTACAAGAAACTCACTTCACCTTTAATAACACACATAGACTAAAAGTAAAGGGATAAAAAACAAAAATATTCCATGAAAATGAAAACCAAAAAAGAGCAGTAGCAGTTACATGTGTATCACACAAAATAGACTTTAAATACTGTCACAAGAGACAAAGAAGGTCATTAGATATTGGTAAGAAAGTCAATTCATCAAGATAATAGAACAGTTATAAATATGAATACACCCAACATCAGAGCACCTAAATATATAAAGCAAATATTAACAAATCTAAAGCAAGAGATAGACTGCAATGCAATAATAGAGAACTTTAATATCTGATTTTCAACAATGGATAAATCATCCAGAAAGAATATTATTAAGAAAACATTGTCTTGAACTACTTCAGACTAAATGAATCTAATAGACATACACGGAATATTTGATCCAACAGCAGAACACACATTCTTCTCAAGCTTACACAGAATATTCTCCTGGACAGATTGTATGTTAAGCCACAAACAAGTCTTAACAAATTTCAGAAGACTGAAATCATATCAAATATATTTTCTGACCGTAGTGGTATGAAACTAAAATCAATAATAACAGGAAAACTGGAAAATTCATGTACATATGGAAATTAAACAACCACCAATGGGCCAAAAAAAGAAGTCAAAAGGTAAATGTAAAAATATCTTGAGACACATGAAAATGGACATGACATACAAAAAGGTATGGGATGCAGCAAAAGTAGTTTTAAGGGAGAAATGTATAGTAATAAATGTTTACAAAAAAAAGACGAAAGGTCTCAAATTAACAACCTAACATTACAGCTCAATGAACTAAAAAAAGAACAAACTAAGCCCAAAGTTAGAAAAAAAGGACATAACAAAGATTAGAAAAGAAATCAATGAAAGTGAGACTAGAGAAACAGTAGAAAAGATCATGAAACTAAGATTGATTTTTGGAAATATAAATAAAATCAACAATACTTGATCTACACTGAGAAAAAATAGACTTAAATAAATAAAAGCCAAAATGAAAAAGGAAACATTACAACTGATGCTACAAAAAATATAAAGAATCATAAGATAATACTATGAACCATTACAAGTCAAAAGATTGGATAGCCTAGAAGAAATGGATAAATTCCTAGACACATACAGCCTACAAGACTGAATCATGAAGAGCTAGAAAATCTTAACAGTAATGAGTAAGGAGATTGAATCAATAATAAAATCTCCTATCAAAGAAAATCCTAGGACCTGATGGCTTCATAGTTGAATTCTACCAAATATTTTGAAAAGAACTAATACCTATCCTTCTAAAATCCTTCCAAAAAGTTGAAGAGGAGGGGATATTTTAAAACTCATTTTACAATGCCAACGCTGCCTTCATACCAAACCCAGATAAGGACACCAACAAGAAATATAGATTATAGGCCAATGTCCCTTGTGAACAAAGGTCCAACAATCCTCAACAAACTACTGGCAAACCAAATATACCAGGACATTAAAAAGATTTTGCATCACGACAAAGTAGGATTTATTCCTGGGATGTAAGAATTATCCAACATACACAATCAACAAATGTGCTACACCACATTAACAGAATAAGAAATAAAAACCATGAGATCATCTAAACAAATGCAGAAAAATCATTTGACAAAATTCAACATTCTTTCACAATACAAAATTTTCAACAAATTATAGGAATGTACCTCAACACAATAAAGCCTGTATATCACAAGCCTATGATAAACATTATACTCGATGAGAAATTGAAATGTTTCCCTCTAAGATCAAGAACAAGACCACTCTCCCCACTTCCATTCAACATAGTACTGGACGTCATAACCAAAGTAATTAGGAAAAAGAAATAAAGTGCATCCAAATAAAAAAGTTAGTGTCTCTGTTAGAAGATGGCATGATCCTATGTAGAAAGAATCCTGAAGACTCCACTAAAAAACTGTTAGAACTAATAAGCAAATTCAGTAATTTTGCAGACTACAAAATCAACAGAAAAATTCAGTTGCATTTCTTTACACCAATAATGATCTATAGAAAGAAAAAGTCAAGAAAAAGTTATCATTATGAGCACATCAAAAAGAATAAAATACTTACAAATAAATTTAACTAAAGAGATAGAATATCTGTACACTGAAAAGTATAAAAGATTAATGAAATAAATTGTGGAAGACAAAAATAAGTGAAACATATCCCATATTCATGAACTGGAAGAATTAATATTGTTAAAAAGTCCATACTACTGAAAATGATCTGTACATTCAACGCAATCCCGATCAAAATGGCAATGAACATTTTTCACAGCAATGGAAAAAATAATTCTGAAATTCATATGCAACCATAAAAGAGCATGAAAAGCTTAAGCAATCTTGAGTATAAGTACAAAGCTAGAGGTATTAAACTTCCTGATTTCAACTCCATTACAAAACTGTAATAATCAAAACAGATGTTGCTGGCATAAAAACATGTATACCAATAAAACAGAATAGAAAGCTCAGAACTAAACTCACATACCTACAGTCAGCTAATTTTTTCAACTAAGGTACCAAGAATATACAATGTAAAGGACAGACTCGTCTATAAATGATGTTGGGAAATTGGATATCCACATGCAAAGAATCCGTGCTTCTCTTATTCCAATCACAAAAGTTAATTCAAAGTGGATTATAGACTTAACATAAGACCTGGCCCCATAAACTCCTAGGAGGAAACATGGGGAAAAGTTCCTGGACATTGGTCTCATCTTTATTTGCTTGATGAAAGAGAAATCTACAGAAAGGGAGAAAATATTTGTATACCACACATCCAATAAGGAGTTAATATCCAAAATATATACAGAACTTATACTACCAAATAGCAAACAAACAAGCTTCTAAATGGGCAAAAGATATTTTTAAAATGATTTCATAAAATGGGCAAAGGATCTGAATAGATATTTTTCCAAAGAAGATACACAAATGGCCAACAGGTATATGGAAAAAATGCTCAAAATCAGAAATCATCAAGGCAAATCAAAACCTCACTGAGATATCACCAACCACCTGTTAGATTGCCTTTTATCAAAAAGTCCAGTGATAGCATGTGTTGGCAAGGATGTAAAGGAAACCTGATATGGTTTGGCTGTGTCCCCACCCAAATCCCATCTTGAATTATATTTCCCGTAGTCCTCACATGTCATGGGAGAGACCCAGTGAAAGGTAATTGAATCATGGGGGCAGTTTTCTCATGCTATTCTTGTGATAGTGAGTAAGTTCTTACAAGATCTGATGACTTTACCTGGGGCTTTATCCTTTACTCAGTTCTCAGTCTTCTCTCTCTTGCCACCATGTGAAGAAAGACATGTTTGCTTCCTCTTCCACCATGACTGTGACTATAAGTTTCCTGAGGCCTTCCCAGCCATGCTGAAATGTGGGTCAGTTAAACCTCTTTCCTATATAAATTACCTAGTCTCAGATATGTCTTTATTAGCAGTGTGAGAACGGACTAATACAAAACCCTTGTAAACTTTTGGTAGAGATATAAATTAGTGCAACCATTATTGAAGACAGTATGTAGGCTCCTCAAAAAAAAAAAAATAAACTTCTCATATAATAACAGCAATCCCACTTCTAGGTACGTATGCAAAAGAAATAAAACCACTATCTTAAAGAGATATCTGCACTCTCAAATTCACTGCAGCATTGTAACACTAGCCAAGATATAGAAACAAACTAAGTGTTCATCTACAGATGCATAGATTTTTTTAATGTGGTACAAACACACACAATGGATTATTCAGCCTTAAAAAGAAGGAAATCCTGCCATTTGCCACATGGATAAACCTGGAGGACATTATGCTAAGTGCAATAAGCCAGATACATAACGACAAATACTACATGATATCCCATACAGGTGCAATATTTAAAAAAATCAAACTCATAGCAATGGACAGTAGAGTGGTGGTTAGCAGGGGCTGGGAAATGCCAGGAAAAAGATGTTGGTCAAAGGGTACAAACTTTCAGCTACAAGATGAGTAAGTACTGGAGACCAAATGTACAGTAGCTTCAAATTTGCTAAGAAAGTAGATCTCAAGTGTTAACACACACACATACACACATTATACGCAAATGGTAATGATGTAACATGATGAATATATTAATTAGCTTGGTTGTGGTAATCATTTCGTAAGTATGCATATACCCTAAATATATGCAAATTTTATTTGTAAATCATACCTCAATAAAGCCTGAGAAAATTGTAGTATATATATGCAATGGAGTATTATTCAGCCTTTAAAAAGCAACTTACAGAAGGACAAATACTGCATGATCTCACTTATGTGTGGAATCTAAAATACTCAAACTGAAGGTAGGATGGCGGTTGCCAAGAGTGGAAAGGAAAGGGAGAAATGAGGAGATAATGGACTAAAGGTTACAAAGTTTCAGTTATGCAAAAATGAGTGAGTTCTGGAGAGTTAATGCACAACATGGTGTCTGTATTACAATGCAATACTGTATTGGACAACTGAAATGTACTAAGGGAGTAGATCTTAAGGGTTCACACCACACACAGAAAAACATAACCCTGTGAGGTAATGGATATGTTAATTATCTTAAGTGTGATGATCTTTTCACAGTGTACACATAGTTCAAAACATCAAGTTGCACATTTAAATATGTATGATTCTTATTTGTCAAATATACTTCAATAAAACTGGAAAAGGGGAATGAAGGAGAATAAGCTAGACCATGTGGCCACATGCTGGTTGACCTCCCACTGAAGTTCATTCCTCCTTTCAAATGGCTATCATAAATATCTCTTTTTGGGGTTTCTGTATTTCCTCCCTCTCTCAGTCCCTTCAGGCACAATGGTGTAAACAGCTCCACCCCATCTTACCCCTGGCCTGTGTGGTACTCTATACCTATAAATTCATAGACAGCATCTCGTTAAATAAATGTTTATCAAATTATCCTATATTAAGTGTGTCATTAACTTCCTGTTGGAACTCTAAATGATATAATTTTCTATAAATGTATCCTTCCTTGAGTGTATCAACTTGTTTCATCTTATTGACTGTACCTTTACAACTAAGATGCTTCAATATATTAGATAATATAAATTTTCACCCTCTCCTTTCTGTTTTATGAACCTGGAGGGCTTCCATCTTCTGCTTTCATCCATTTCTGTTGTCTCCTATGCCTACTGTACATCTGTCATCTTAAAAGTGCCTTTTGATCCCTTCGTAGTTCATAAGCGTGATGACTGAGTTTTTGCACTCCTGTGTGAAATGTACCTCCCTCAAACCTTATGACATATATACATTACCTGACTCACATGAAGAAAGAAAAAAGAGATTGGGATTTTTTTTAAAGTGGCTTTAGCCACCCTGCATTGCATATATTAGTTTATTGATCTCATTTCTTCCTCTTGTTTTGCTGGGATATATTATCCCACACTTTCAAAAAAAGAGAGTACTTATGAAGTAAACTTTATAAATTTTTGTATGATTAAATATGCTTTATTCTATCTTCCTGATAGATTTGTTCTGTATAGAATTCTAGCCTGAAAATCAGTGTGAGAAACTTTTCCACTGTATTCTAAGGATGAGCTTGCTACAGAGCATACTCATGCCATTTGAATTTCTGTTCATTCGTGAGCTATACGGTTTTTTCTTAATAATTTTACAATATTTTCAATCGTTAAGGTGATAAAATTTCATAATAACGTGCCTTGGGATTTTTTTTAAATCTTGTGGTGGGCATTCAGTAAATCTTTCATATCGAGAAAATTAAGCTTTTCTGTTCTAAGAAATTTATTTTCATTGTTTCTTTTAAATCCATCCTTCTGTTTAATTTGTCCTCCTGGAATATGTGTGAGTTGAATGGTTTGCCCCTAACTTGATTCCTTGTGTTTCTTGTTTTTATCTTTCATGTTTTCTATTTCTTTGACATTTTCATTCTACTTTCATAGAGACTGTACTTTTATGACTTCTTTGACTACTTGTTTTATTTCTTTTAATGCCATATTAATTTTGTTTATTGTTCTTTTTGATTTTACCTTCCAAAAATAATTTTTCTATATTTTTTCAGTACATCATATTCTTATTTCAAGATTACAAATATTTTCTTTCATTGATGAGAAGATACAGTTTTTTACAGTTCCCCCCCCCCCGCCCCGAATTACCTCTAATTCCACCAGTTTCCTTTTGGCTTTTTTAAAGACTTACTTTTTTCTTTTTTTCAAAAGCCTTATGTAAATTTTAGATTGATCTCTTAAGCCAGCTTACTAACTGGCAGACTTCTGGTCAGGGTTCCAGTAGAAAGGTAGCCATTTCATTTGTAATCTCCAAAGGCAGATGTGACATTAACATTCAGTTTCTTAAACAAAGGTGCCAATGTTCTGTCTGTGACTCATATGCTACCGTTAGCATCTGGGAGCAGAAAGAGAGGATAGAAGATTGAACTGTTCCTTTCTCTTAATCTTCATTAGCAGCCCTGAACCTCACCTCCCGCTGACCTGGCATCCTGCATCCCAATCATCGTAGGGATTCCAGGAAATGAATCTCTCCCCTTTTCCTCACTATTCCTCTTGTTGGGAATTTAGACTTAGCCTTCCCGACCCTGCCAAATCAGTTACTACTTTTTTGTCTTACCTTTTCCAAACTTTTGTTGAAATCTCTTCTCTGCATCTAACTCCTGTCCTGTTTCTTTGTTCCTGTGGGTCTCAGCCATTTTTTTCTTACTGCAAGTGTTGTTATTTTTATTATTAATACTTTGCTCTTAGGAGGGAAAAGGAAACCTAATGTATTCTATCATTTTTAATATAATTTGTGGGTTTGTTGTCTATCTTAAAAAATCAGGAGTTTAAAAAAAGGATAGAATGACCCTTTTGCAAAGGGAAAGTAATATGAAAATAACTATAAGGACATGCAATAACTATAAAGAAATTTTAATAATCAAAATGTTAATGGTGATCATGTATGAGAGGGCTGGAGTAGACAAACCATTTTAAAGACTTTTCAAAAGTCCCACCAACCAACTACTATTAACATCAGATTGTCCACTGGGCTTCAAAAGGAATATCTTTTTCTTATAAGGTCATTCTAAATTATTGAATTGAAGTTTAAAAGAGCCTGAGGCAAGTCAATGCAATATTTTAGTTGGTCCACCATGAATAATGTCAGGTCCCCATTACTAAGGAAAAAAATAGAAATTGGAGTTACAATCAACAGATTTTGACAAGTACCTACTGTGCAAGCCCCTCTAGTCCATACATGAAGAGTAGAAAAGAATATACATCATTTGTATTCTTCATAAGTTGTAGATCTCAGATAAAAATCCACTAAAAAAGAGAAAAAGGTAAGTGATATTTTATAAATTGCATACAGGATTGCTTAAGGCATACAGAAAATAAATGTTGAACAAAAATAATCAGGACAGAATTCTTGAACAACATCAGTCATGAGACAAGATCTAACAAAATTTCTTAGAAGAAAAATGCCTTTTCCAGAATACTGAGAATACTTAACTATTTTTCAACTTTACTAAGAATACCACAAGAAGAAAATGTGCTTATTCCATTTTGTTGTTTTAAGGAACTGAAGACAAGTTCAACTAAAAATTTATAATAGAATTACATCTCCTTAGTCATTTCAATGGTACAAATACCAACTCATTTTAGTTGCTTTAATCTAGTCTGTTTTTATTGGCAAAAAAGTAAGATTTCTTTCAGTAAAGATAGTATTATAGTAATGGGTAGAAGAGTATTCAAATTCTCCAAGAGGGTCTTTGAAGAAATTGCTGTCCACCTCAAAATATGTAAAGTTCTATTTTTTTTTTTCCTGCACAGAAACCATCCTTTGGGCAATTTGTTGATTTATACTAACCCTCTTCATTATAGGAAGTATGTATTTCTATGTCTGCATTTGTTGTATTGTATTGTAATTATCTCCTTGCAAATCTGTTTCCCTGACTAGATTTTGCAATATGTATAAGAAAAGACTAGAGAAGGACGAAAAAGAAAACAAAAGAAGGAGGGAAAAGGTGCAGCTTCTGGTAAATTAGACCTCTTTTTTGAAGAGACATGATATGGTGAGAAGATATGATCAGGGATATCTTTCTCTTATAACCCCACTCTAAATTACTGAATGGTAGCTTAAGAGAGTTTGATGTGAATAGAAGGGATTTAACGAGGTTAAATGAGATATTGAGTAGGAGTGTTAACTCTTGTACTCTAGAAGAGAGAATAAACCTTGCCAAGTATGGAAAGGTTTAAGTTTAGCCCGTCTAAAATAGCCTCAAATTATTTCCTGTTAGACAAAATATAAAAGCTGCATTTTAGGAACTGTTTTTTTAATTATTAGTAAATTAGGGATCATTGAAGGTATCCACTAATTCAGTGATTTTGCAATTCTGACAAACTATCCTCTCTGCTTTTCCTTCAAGGAGATCTTGCTACTCCATAGCCGCCTCATGGCATTCTTTACTCCTCATTCCTCAGAGTATAGATGAGTGGGTTCAGCATTGGGGTGATGGTGGTATAGAACACAGACACAGCTTTATCCAATGGGAAAGTAGTGGATGGAGATAAATAAAGATACACGGAACAAAGAAGAAAGTTACTATAGTCAGATGAGATCCACAGGTAGAGAGAACTTTGTGTCAGCTCTCTGCAGACTGTTTTTGAAGACTAAACAGAATGACTGTGTAGGAGGCCAAAAGAATGAGGAAACACCCCAGGGAGATGAGACCACTGTTGGCAACCACCAACATATTTACCAGAGTTGTATCAGCACAGGCAAGTTTTAGGACTGGGTGGACATCACAAAAGTAATGGTCTATAACCTGAGCATTACAGAAGGGCAGCTGGAAGGTCAGGAGGGTCTGAACAAAGGAATGACCCAGGGCCCCCAACCAGGACAGTGATGCCAGCACAGTATAAGCATTAGCACTCATGATGACAGTGTAACGGAGGGATTGGCAGATAGCAGCATAGCGATCAAAAGCCATGACAGTCAAAACAAAAATCTCAGCACAACCAAAAAAGTGGAAGGTAAACATCTAAGTTATACAGCCCCAGTAGGAAATAGTCTTTTTCTCAGAAACAAAGTCTTCAATCATCTTGGGTGCTGTGGGTGAGGAATAGGCAATGTCCACAAAAGACAGGTTACTGAGGAAGAAATACATGGGTGTGTGTAGTCGGGAGTCAGAAAAGACCATAAGCAAAATGAGCAAATTTCCCACCATGATCACGACGTAGAAGAGGAGAAATAAGACAAAGAACATCAATTGCATTCCAGAATCTTGGGAAAGTCCCAGGAATATAAACTCAGTGACATTGTTGGCCACTTTCATGGGGCCCCAGGCAGGACTCGTGGAGTGACTCTGGTTCTCTGCAAAAATAAACACGTTATAAACCGTGGTAAGCATAGTAAAGCCTATCAATAAGAGTCTTGTGAAAACACCTATATGATGTTAAATATGGTAGAGAAAGTTCTTCATATTTCTTGAACATAGTTCATGAATATTTTTCTTGTCTTTAGCTTGATTTCCACACTATTGACTCACATTTGAATTTCTTTCATAATTAGTCTTATAGTTCCTCTTTTCCATACAAGAACCTAGAGAATCTGAGTCTTTTTTATTGAATTTAATGTTTTTCCCTAATCAGTGCTCTCTCTCCCCCCACCTCCAACTTCTCTTGTCAGAAATTTACTTTGGAGTGAGAACTTTGTTTAAATAAATAAATTAATTTTTTGAGGCTGTAAATAAAAGCATGAAGTCAGAGTATAAGATCTGATGTATAAAATTTCAGAATCCTTCAAATATAATGTATGCTACTCACCTATAGAAAAGTAACATTTTATTTAATCAAGAGAGGAAGACTCAGTTTCCAATTTCTCAATTAGATTAAAAGTCTCAATTCAATTAAAAATTAAGTCATTTTTAGTGCTTATAAATCAACATTGAGGAAATTTGAATCATAAGCCTGGACCTGCAGTTTGAAAATTCCATTTTGCTTGCCAGTAAGGAATACATGAGAAGTGATCAACTTATACAGAGAAATACTTTTTTCTATGTTGCTCTGAAGAGTTGAAACATTTTAAAGTTACTGAGTTCCCTATCATCCTCAATCCCTTTGCAGGTCCCTGTCATCCTCAATCCCTTTGCCTTGAAAAAGACCCAGATAACTCTCTGTCCTTGTGATCACAGGAAAAATTAGGAATGAAATTTATCATACAGATAATGTTATAAATGATAGTTTAAAAATAAGTGTCTGAAGCCATTTTATAAACTGTAATAGGAATCCTTGCATCATACAGAGAAAAATAATGGATAAAAATAATCAGGAAAAAATTCTTAAAGGAGATTAATATTAGACAAGATCTGAAGTTTCTTGAAATAAAAATGGCTTTTCTGAAATATGAAAATTACTAGCTATTTTCCGTCTTTACTCAGAATACCTCTTTTCTGCATGGAGAGCAGAAAGAGCACTGCCCAGAAGCTGAGTGGTGTAAGTTTGAGTGCCCTCATCAGCTTTATAACTTTGGGTAAATCTATTTATCTTCCCTGGATCTCAGTTTTCTCACCTATAGAAGACGAATGATAAAATTTTTTACCTCACAAAGCTGTTTCAGAATTCAAATGAGATCTATAGAACATGTTTTGAATTTATGAGGTGTTTCCTTTTAATTAGAATCTATCAAGTGGAATCTCTCTAGTAAGCATAATTTGTAATTTGGTGTATTTAGTTATTATATAAAAGCTATATAATGTAACTACTAGAAAATATTAAAAACATATACAATTTTATTTCTGAGATAATAGCTATAATATCTGCCAATCTCCATTAAAGAAATATCATTAATAGTAGCTAACATTTACTGAGCATTTTACCATGTGCAGAATCGTGTGCTAAACTCTGCATATGTTATTTAATTCCATCCTCACAACAATATAATAATTTTTATTATCTCCTTTTTACAGAGCAGCACTAAAGATTAAAGAGGCAAATTGCCCAATATAATTTTCCGTAAAAGGACTGGTATAATTGTGGTATTCTTTCTCCAGAACACACATAACTGACATATCCTTAAATAAATCATAGGTAGATAGAAAGATTAGATAGATAAATTTCTCATAAAAAGAACTGAACTTATTCTTTATTTTATTTTTTAATTACTATTATTTTTTGGAGAGGAAGTGTCACTGTGTCACCCAGGCTGGAGTGCAACAGCGTGATCTCGGCCCACTGCAATCTCCGCCTCCTGGGTTCAAGTGATTCTCCTGCCTCAGCCTCCCAAGTAGCTGGGATTACTGTCACCTGCCACCACAAAAAGAATTGAATTTAAACAATTGCTTCCTTATCGTGCAAAGTCCTTCAATTGGAGAATATGTTTCACATTCCTAAAATCTTTAAATAATCGGCGTCCTATACCAGCAAAGTCAAATTGCGCTCAGTCATCACCAGTTGGCAAAATCATAAGGGCTGAAAAAATGTTTAGGTAAACAGAAAACACATTGTACTTACTATATGCCAAGTTTGATTCTAGATGTTTTACATATAGCTCATTTAACTCCCACAATGATCTTATAAAGTAGTCCATCACTACTATTCCCACTTCAGAAATGAGGAAACTGAAGCACAGAAAGAGTAAGTAACTTGCCCAAGGTTATAGATCTAGTGATTGGCAGAGTTGGTATTTGAACCCACGCAATGAGTCTTCAGGATCTATTTTCCTAACTACTATGCATATCCTGGGTCTGATGGCATCAAAGCCACCAAATATGTTTCTCATTTGAAAGCCTTAAACCTTCTACAATAATCAAAAGACTCCTTTTCTTCTAATCATGAAAAGTTTTTTTTAATTATATACACTATTTAGAGACAAAGACTATAGCTGCAACTAGCAAGATCATCACAGCATAGAGTCTGTGCCAACTTTTCTCAAATTAAATTTACAGTGGGGATGTAATAACAAGTGATGTGATACTGATCATTCATTCAGTCATTATTTGATTTGGCAAGTATTCTCAATCAAGTGGAGGAGGTCCACATGTAAACTGTGACAGTTCTCTGTGAAGGGGCTCAGGAAGGAAGCCCAGGAGAGACAGGACTGCCTTTTCAAACGTTGTCACTGAGTGGAATTCTGATAGATGAGTTAGAGTTAACCTGATGATGATGAGGATTGCAGGGTGTGGGCACAAAAGAATAGACAGGGCAGGAAGAACTTTCCAGGCCTAGCAAATAGAATATGTGAAGGTAAAAATCATTACACCATCCTCTTTGGGGAGTGCCAGCAAGTTGAGTATGATTCAGCACACAATCCACATAGGAAAGTGTCAGGAGATGAGGCTGACAAGAAGGCAAGTCTAGATTACAGAGTCTTGTGTGTTAAGCTTAAAAGTTAGCAATTGAATTAATTGGGGTGCCATAAAGAAAGATCCAGCCACAGGAGTAGAGTAGCTGCGATGGAAGGTGGGGGAGAGAAGTTGTGAAAAAGATGCCTGGAACCCTAACTGGTCTACTTTCAAATTTCAGCTTCAGCATTTACTAACTTTATGACTTTAGGCAAGTTACTTCACTTCCCTTTGCCTCAGTTTTCTCAAGTGTAAAATGTGGATAAGAATAGTACATTTATATAGAGTGTTATACATATTAAATATATTACATATAAAGCACTTATGTGCATAACATACTTTAAGCAAATATATAATTATCATTATCCATCTTTGCTATCAGAGAAAATGTTGATTGGAAGGAGAGACAGAAGCCTGGATAGGAGTCATCTTAGAACACTAACCTCCTTACTATGTTAATCTCCTGATTCTCACCTATATGCATGCTTATGCTTGTCCAAATCTTAGACTGTATCTACTGCTCACACCTACCCTCCCAAGTATACTCCTTTGACTGGAGCAGCAACAGAGTACATTCTATATTCTTGCATAGATGTATTTAAGAGTTCAAGCATGGATGCCCAAAGATGTTTGGGAAGCTGATCTATTCACCCTGAGTGGTGACAACTCAACTTTATCTAGACTCCTCCTGAGGAGTTCATCAAATTAATCATAGTCTAGGACCCAAGATCTTTTTGCTATCTTTGCTGGGAGAAACTGCACAAGATTTAAAGATAGAACAACTCACAGCTCTGCCTCTTCAGACTGTGTAACATTAACATAATTTTTCTAGCATCTACTAATCTCCCCTGTGAGATAATGCTACCCATGGTAAGACTCAAATTAGATAATGGACAAAAAAGCAATAAACAATCTGCCAAACTAACTCTTGATCATTTTTGTGGTAGAATTTCAGGAACACCAGTATCAGACGTCTGAACTCTATGAACCAGAGCCTCTATGGGGTGGATTGTTTCTACTGGTCTACCCAGGTTCTTAGGTTAAACTTGATCTCTCTAAGACAATGCTAAAGAATATATATTAGTTGAAATAAGATTTGCGTAGTTAAAGAAAAATGTTTCCTCCTTTGTTTAACTCCATGAGCCTACATAAATTATTTCCAATAGAACAATTTCAAAGAATGCAACTCTTGGAATCTTCTGGGAAAGAGACTGTCTTAGTTCCTCTCATGAGGGATTTACAAAGGGCAGCCATATACTATTCTAGATCTCTTTCCTAACAGCAAGTTCTATCTCATGGAAAACTTTTCGTGCAATAGTGTTCTTGACTTCAATATCCCTCATAGAGACATTATAACACATGTGCATGTTTTTATGTCTCTTGTTACCTGACATTATTTTATTACTTATTAATCCTATCCTGTTCCTCTAATTGGCTCCAATTGAGGAAACAATTACTAGTCTTTGTGGAGCTGAAATATAAGGATAAATATTGAAAAAAATCTGCAAATGAGTTAGCATAGCACAATATATAGATTGCTTAAGGTATCATCTATTTGAGTTATATTTCTTAAGTACCAATATTAATTTATCCTTTCACTTAATATTTACTAAACATATTATCTGTGTCTGGTACTGCACTGTGAATATAAAACGAGGAGCACGACCCAATTCCTGACATAAAACCATTTATTTTAGAGCAGCAGTTTTAAATGATCTCCTTAAATCATCTTAGACTGAAGCATAATTTGTTAAGTCCTATACTTATCTATGTATAAGAGATTTTAGAGATTGATTTTTTCACACTCATCTAACCACTGGGAAACAAATAAGGTCAAGAGAGGGAATTAAATTATCTAAGTTTACTGATGGTGGTAAACCTAGTAAACCTAGGACTAAATTCCAACTGAAATTATATTGATACACACTTTAAATTGTAATATACTAATTCTTAAATTAATTACTAGAACAGACGTTGTAAAGCAGGTGAATAATTTACAGAAGTAAAGAATTTACCTTTGAATATAATTTGAATCAATGAAAATTGACCTTGCTTCTTTCACTGGTGGTTAAGGTATCATTCTAGATGGAAAGCTTACCCTGGACTTTTTCTTGAGTGTGGTCCCACCTCATGGATTTGAACAATCCGAGATCTTGGATCAGAAAAGCCTTTGAAATAAAAATGTGATTGATACCAAGATACGCACACTAAAAGACAGATTTATATAATGATGCTTCTCTTATATACATGCCACATTTCCTCTTGTACAGTCTAAAAAGTGGTCTTGAGTTTGTTTTCTCTTTCTCTCTCTCCTCTCTCTCTCTCCCTCACAAAGATAGTATTTTATGAGTTTACAACCATGCCATAGCTTCTAACCTTGGTATGCAAAAGACTTCTACATTCCTGGATGCCAAAGGGAAGAAACTCTCCGCAATCTTTATGCATCATCAAAACCCTGAGAGAAATGCTGCACAAGTGATTGGGTAAGCAGCTGGAGAATATGATTAGGCAGAGGTGCAAGTGTAGTCTCTACTAAATAACTCCTTGTAAAACCATGCTGAAAGCTGGCTGAAAACAACACTTTTAATTAGAGTATTGAAGGTGAAAAGTTGGTCAAGAATTCCAGCAGAAGTAGCAGCATGTTCAGAAACATAGAAATATGAGGAAGCTGCACATAGTTCAGAAGTTCAAACTGTGGAGCAGGACTGGGCAAAAATTGGAATTAGGATTGATAATTGATCTTGGAACAAGTTTTTCTACTAGAACAAGGCCTAAGGTGTAGAGTGGTGTTGTAGTATGAGAAATCTTAGTTATTATCCTAGATTTTCTTATCACCATGCAGACCCTACACCCCTACAGAATCTCATATGTGTATCAGAATCTGAGGCAGGATAGAACATGCAAACAAGAAAGTATAGGTTTGATGAAATAAGAGGGAGAGACTGGTAGGGCTAGGATGTATATGCTAATCAACTCAACTGAGCCATTTTACTATGTAGACATATTTATTTCAAAACATCATGTACATGACAAATATATACAAGTTTTACATGTCAAATAAATAAATAAGAAACCATGCACAGATGTGAACAGAGTGGTGGGGGGAAGTCAAATATTCACTTAAAAAGATAAAAACTAGAACTGCACTGTATTTATGTTATAGATTTCACCATTTCCTGTAAGTAATGGAAGCTCACCAAGTATTTTCAAGTATTTATTTACAGAATAATTACAAAAAGTTTTTTGGGAATATAAAGGACATAACGGCAATAAATTAAATAACTGCCATGATAAATAAAAAATAGACAACTTGAGTAAGCCGTTTCATTAAGAACTAATGAAATCTGAATGAAAAGTGCAATGTAGTTAGTAATAATGTATCAATATTAGTTTGACAAATGTACCATAGTAATATAACAATAAGGAAAATAGCATGAGGTATAATTATATTATGTGATATTCAACATTTCTGTAAATCTATAACCATTCCAAATTTTAAAAATTATTAAATTTAAAAATGATTTTATAAAATCTTTGAAAGCATGTTATGAGCCAGAAATTTTGGGAGGGCCTATAAACATCAGCTTTATTCATTCCCTTTCATTCTTTTTTTAATTTCAACTTTTATTTTAGATACAGAGGGTACATGTGCAGGTTTGTTACGTGGGTTTATTGCACCAAGGTAGTAAGTATAGTACCCAACAGGTAGTTTCCCAACCCATCCCCCCACCCTTCATCACACCTTTTGTAGTCCACAGTGTCTACCGTTCCCATGTACATGTCCATGTGTGCTTAATGTTTAGCTCCCACTGGTACGTGAGAACATGTAGTATTTGGATTTCTGTTCTTGCATGAATTTGCTTAAGATTATTGCCTGAAGCTCCATTCATGTTGCTGCAAAAGACATGATTTCATTCTTTTGTATGGTTGTGTAGTATCTGATAATGTATGTACCATATTTTCTTTATCTAGTCTACCATTTATGGGCACCTAGGTTGATTCCGTCTTTGCTGAATAGTTCTGAAAAGAACATACAACTGTGTGTGTCTTTTTGGTCTTTTTGGCATAATCTATTATATATATATAATATATTATATATATATATAATATATTATATATATAAAATATTATATATATATAAAATATTATATATATAAAATATTATATATATATAAAATATTTTATATATATATATACACACACACACAGAGAGAGAGAGAGAGAGGAAAAAAAAGGATTGCTGGATCAAATAGTAGCTTTGTTCTAAGTGATTTGAGAAGTCTCCAAAATTTTGCCCACAGAGGCTGAACTAATTTACATTCCCAACAACTCTGTACAAGCACTCCCTTTTTTCTACAGGCTCACCAGCATCTGTTGTTTTTTGACTTTTTCATAACAGCCACTCTGATTGGCATGAGATGGTATCTTATTGTGGTTTTGGTATGAATTTCTCTGATGATTAGTGATAAGCATTTTTTTGTATATTTGTTGGCTCCTTGCATGTCTTTTTATTGAGAAGGATCTATTCGTGTCCTTTTCCCATTATTAATAGGGCTATTTGTTTTTTGTCTGTTGTATTGTTTAAGTTCTATTTACATTTGGGATATTAGACCTTTGTCAGATGCATAGTTTGCAAATATTTTCTCCCATTCGGTAAGTTGTCTGTTTCCCCTCTTGATAGTTTCTTTTTCTGTACAGAAGCACTTTCGTTTACCCAGGTCCCACTTGTCAATTTTTGGTTTTGTTGCAATTTCTTTGGGGGGACTTAGCTAATTTTTTTCCCAAGGCCAATGTCAAGAAAAATATCTCCTAGATTTTGGTCTAGGATTTTCATAGTTTGTGGCCTTACATTTAAATCTTTAATCTATCCTGTTAATTTTCTTACATGCTGAAAAGCAAGGGTCTAGCTTCATCCTCCTGCACTTTGCACCTCAAGGAATTAGAAAATAAAGGACAAACCAACTCCATAGCTAGCAGAAGAAAAGAAATAACAAAAATTAGAGAACAACTTAATGAAAGTGAGGTGCAAAAATCTATACAAAACGTCAATGAAACCAAGAGTTAGTCTTTTGAAAAAATAAGATTGTTAGACTGCTAGTTAGATTAAAAAAATAGTAAAAAAAAAAGAAGATCCAAATGAGTACCGTCAAAAAGTACAAAAATGACATTACAACTGATCCCACAGAAATACAAAAGGTCCTCAGAGAATACTATGAACAACTCTATGCACACAAATTAGAAAATCTGGAAGAAACGGATAAATCCCTGGAACAACACAATCTCCTAAAATTGAATTAGGAAGAGACTGTAATCCTTAATAAGTCAATATCAAGCTCTGAAATTGAATCAGTAATAAAAAAAAAAAACTCTACTAACCAAAAAAAGCCCAGGACCAGAGGAATTCACAGTTGAATTCTACCAGACATATAAAGAAGAAATGGTACCAATCCTACTGAAAGTATTCCCAAAAAAATCAAAAAGGAAGGGCTCCCCCCTAACTCATTCTATGAAGCTAGCATCAGCCTAATACCAAAATCTGGCAGAAACAAAACAAAGAAAGAAAACATCAGGCCAATATCCTGATGAACATAGATGCAAAAATCCTCAACACAATACTAGCAAACCAAATTCAGCGGCACATCAGTAAGTTAATTCACCACGATCAAGTAGGCTTTGTTCCTGGAAACAAAGAGAGACTTGAAAATGCAAAAGGGAATACAAAACGCTCTTGCTTTTCTTAAAATAACGCTACCAATTCCAGCTATCAACAGGACATTTAAAATGATTTGCCAAGACTATACATTTTGCTATGAAAGAGAGCATCAGAAAAAGGGGATGTTGCAGCCGGCTTATACTAAGAGAAAGCCTGGAGCTCTATGTTCTTGAAACATGCCTGGTAATCCCTAGCACCACTCAAATCTTTCTGGTAACTCACACACTACTCTCGGGCAGTTTCCTGTACTTCAGGATATTCAAAATATTACCTTCAGGATATCATACTGCTCTTCAGGATATTCAACGTATGCAAAAAACTCTAAAAGTGTAGAGCAGAGTAAAGCAAAAAAGAAGAACATGATGTTCCAGGTATGCCATTCTCACCCTCACCCATACTATTTAGAAATCTCCCAAATGGCAGCCTAGTTCCTAGTCTGTGAGGAGTCCTTCTGTAGCAATATATACATATACACATACGTACATATGGCTTCTTAAATATGAAGTCATTAACTCCCAACACAAAAATAAAAATACATTTTTTGTCCCTATATCAAGAAAGCTCTTACATGACCAGGGTTATTGGCATTTTCCAGTATATCCTAGTATTAGATGGAGTTTCAGACTTTTTTTCACAAGTATATTTTTCAGCTAAGTAATCATAAATACCTCTCTATGGCAATTCATTAGGAGACAAAGTGACAAAATATAAAAAACATTATAAAAATTTGTCATTATCTTATTATATAGTAAATAGAATAAAGACTTTTCATAGCCATAAAATATTGCAAGGATCCTATGTCAGAGATAGATAATCTTAAATATAAATGTTTAAGTTAACCTTTTTAGGGATCTTCCAGCTCTGAAGCTCCTATACAGGTATTATAGAAATTAAGTAATCTAGCCAGGTGTCGTGGCTCATGCCTGTAATCCCAGCACTTTGGGAGGCTGAGGCAGGCACATCACCTGAGGTCAGGAGTTCAAGACCAGCCTGGCCAACATGGAGAGACCCTACTAAAAATACAAAAACTAGCCAGGCATGGTGGCCGGTGCCTGTAATCCCAGCTACTTAGGAGGCTGAGGCAGGAGGACCACTTGAACCTGGGAGGCAGAGGTTGCAGTGAGCCAAAATCGTGCCACTGCACTCCAGCCTGGGAGACAAGAGTAAGACTCTGTCTCAAAAAAAAAAAAAAGAAAGAAAGAGAAAGAAGAAAGGAAGGAAGAAAGAGAGAAAGAGACACAGAAAGAAAGAGAAAGAAAGAAGCAATCTGTATAATTGGGATAAATACACTTTCTGAGGAGAAATAAAATATTAACTTAATTATATAATTATTAGCTTTCTTTTTTTTTTTTTCTTGGAGACCGAGTTTTGCTCTTGTTGCCCAAGCTGCAGTGCAGTGGTGCGATCTCAGCTCACTGCAACCTCTGCCTCCCGGGTTCAAGTGATTCTCCTGACTCAGCCTTCCTGAGTAGCTGGGATTACAGGATTACAGGCATGCGCCACCATGCACGGCTAATTTTGTATTTTTAGTAGAGATGGGGTTTCTCCATGTTGGTCAAGCTGGTCTCAAACTCCTGACTTCAGATGATCTGAACACCTTGGCCTCCCAAAGTGCTGGGATTACAAGCAGCTTTCTTGATTGATTACATTTTTTCTAAGTGGTCATGGGCAAGTCACTTAACTCAGAGTTCATTTTCAAAAATGAAGTTAGGTAAATTTATTCCTCAAACATGTTTGAGACTCAGAGGTAATAACTGTGAGCATCTCAAGAATGAGTGCTTTCAACCACAGTTCATTTCTTCCTCCTTTCGAGGCTAAAACTCTTAAACATTATGGTCAGTTGAAGAGCCAGCTTACCTATTCACCCTCACTGTAATTCCACTCAAAGAAAAACTCAATGTGAAACTGGGTACCTCTTCTTGAGAAGCCTCTACAACAGAATACTAACAGCTTCCATCACCCCTGCACTCCTGGACTTCCTTTCTCTCACACATAAACTTTGTTAAGAGCATATGTTCATTAGAGTGATGCCTGACTACATTTCTAAAACTTGGGACACTGTGGAACACAGTTCTGAGGTAAATACTACTACATAGGTGGTTGTTACTGTTCTCAGGCTTTGTTATAACAGAACAAAGAAATTCACACTACTTCAGAAGAGGATCTGATGAGACATCAGAAGGAACTTCCTAACACTAGGAATCATTAAATGCTGGAGGAAAGGAACACAAAAAGAGATATATCTTGTTTCATTTGAATAGATTAAAAAGTGGAACAAATTGAATAAATGAAGAGTACTTAGAACATGAAGATAGAAAAGTTGATCTTTCAATTAATGCTTGTTATCATTTGTGGCCAGTAAATTCTACTGAGTTCCCGAGTTCTCTTGATTATGGTCAAAAGGCATAGGTGGCTTTCCAGAGTGCCACCTGTGCTTTTAAATTGTAATCAAGAGTGATCTATTATAATCTTTAGGCTATCTTCTTTTTTATACCAAAGTCATCAAAATGGTTTTTAGACATGTACAAGATGAGTTAAGAGTCTTCCAAGAAAGAGTATGTTTTTCAAATCACCTTTTCTGCTCATTCTTTAACAAGGAAATGGAATGTCACATGGTTTTATCCTCAGCTTCTTCATAGCTGTCTTCATATCAGCATTTCTGAGTGTGTAGATGAGGGGGCTCAACATAGGTGTCATCACTGTGTAAAACATGGAGAATATCTTATCCACAGAGAAGCTGCAGAAAGGCCTCAAATAGATGAATATACATGGCATGAAGATCAGGCTGACCACTGTCAGGTGAGAAGCACAGGTAGAGAGGAACTTGTTCTGGCCCTGGCCGAAGTGTGTTCTCAGGGTGATCAGGATGACAGCATAAGAGAATAGTAAGACCAAGAAGCAGACAAGAGAGAGCAGACCACTGTTGGCTATCATCAGCACCTCTACCACATAGGTGTCCATGCAGGCCAGCTTGATGACCTGTGGGACATCACAGTAGAAGTTGTCCAGTTCATTGGGGCCACAGAAAGGCAGCTGGATGACTAGTATGACCTGCATGATAGAGTGGATAAAACCCCCACACCAGCAGGCAAGAACCAACCAAAGGCATAGCTGGGGGTTCATGACTTATAAGGTAGCGCAAAGGGTTACAGATGGCAACATACCTGTCATAGGCCATAACTGTCAGCAAAAACATCTCACTGGCTCCTAGAAAGTGGAGGAAGTAGATCTGGGCCAGGCATCCTGAAAAAGAGATGCTCTTGCCCTGCTGTAGGAAATCCCCTAACATCTTTGGCAGAGTAACACAGCTTAGGCATAGGTCAATGAAAGAGAGATGACCTAAAAAATAATACATAGGAGATTGGAGCAGATGAGCATGGGCTTGCACTGTTACCACTATCAAGAGGTTTCCCAGGACAATAGCAATGTAAAAAAACAAAAATAGTAATAAGAGAAATAGCTGCAGCTCCCAAGAAGATGATAGGCCCAGAAGAACAAGTTCTGTCACGTTAGAATCTTGTTTTTTTTCATCAAGCCAAGAATATCAAGTGACCTAGAGAAAGAAGAATTAAATCAGAACAAGGGAGATTTAAGGTATCAATCTATCTATGTATCTATCTATCTATATAGATAGATATAGATATACACTATATATATAGTATGTAATACATAAATTACATAAAAATTATTTTAGCAAATTCTATGAGGTAGTATAGGCAGTAGTCTTATATTGATAGAACATTGAATTTTGTTCACTTCTTCCAACTCTTTATTCCTGTACTACTTTTAAATTGCATTCACAATAAACTAGAAAGAAACACAATGACCTGGACATGAGGTGGTAAGTGCTAATCTTTCCATTTCTTTTAATAGACAGAATAATGTCCTCTAAGGACAAAAGTTCTGGAATGGAGTATCTAGATCGAATGCCTAGCTCCACCATTACCAATGGAGTACTCTCAGGCAAGGAAATAAACCTCTCTGAATTTTGTTCTTTGATTATTCAATTTAATGCAGAGTTAATAATATCTCCCAAGATTGTTCTGAGAATCAAATGTAATGCCTATGTGCACCATAAAAAAAAAACTAGATCTCTCAAGATGAGGAAATATCTTACTCATCTTTGTATCCACAACACAATATTTACTGCATAGCAGAAGCTCAATAATTTATCAAATCGAAGGAAGAATGTTTTGTAAACAACAAATTGCTATGTTGTACAAAGTTTAGTAGTTACTGTGAATAAATATATTAGGAAACAAATCATTTAGGAAGGATTGAAAAAGCTCATATTTTTTGTCTTTACTATCCCAGGTTACAGAGATTGGGAAGTTTGTAAAAATGAGGTAAGAAGAAACAGTCTCA
The DNA here is from genome assembly GCF_000001405.40 of Homo sapiens. NCBI lineage: Eukaryota > Metazoa > Chordata > Mammalia > Primates > Hominidae > Homo > Homo sapiens. The sequence continues at coordinate 22,043,624 of NC_000015.10, read as the reverse complement.
ATCTTTAAGATTTAGGGAAGCATCAGACTGGGGATGAGTAGGACAATGATTAAAAGACACCAATCACCAAGACAAGAGACCAAGAGCCATGACCCATATCGTGGAGGCATGCACAAAAGCCCACCATGACCCTTTTACAGGACAAAGTAATAAGAGAAACCACAGTTGTGTTGCTTCTGGACTTTTCAACAACCATAGATACATAAGAAAATAAAAGATTTGCTAAGATATTGTTAGATCCATTTTCCCTGCTCTACACTCATATTCATCCCCAATGTTTGGTGACAATACCTTGGATTACAAACAGAAAATCAGAGAATGTTGATACATTTCTTCCATTGCAGTAGTTAAAAATTAGTAGATGTCTCCCTGTCTAGAATTTTTTTTTATCTAGAATCAGCTATAGACAAAATATGAAATAAGACAAGATTTTATTTTGTGTTCCAAGCTTTGTAATCCATGTTGCACTTGGTTCTATCAAGTCATTCAGAGAATGTTATCCAATAAAATCCTTCATAATAGATATCAGGTATTTACATAGACAATGCAGAAAAGTACTTAAATTCTAAAAATGAAAACCTCTAATGACAAGAAAACTTTCTCTAGGGTATTATTCCAAGATAAGCCAGTGAGAGAGAGATTTGGGGCTCAAGTCACATTTGGACGCCTCTGTCACACCATGATTGTGACCATCCTCTTCATCTGCCTATATAGCCAAGTGCACAGGTGCATCTAAATCTATAATCTCATAACTGATAGAAGGAATCACCTCACTTTCTAGAGTCAATTGGAAAATAAACCAAAGCAAGAAATACAAGTTAGGGAACGATTTGCTGTTATGTGTACAGCCCTACTTGAGCTCTGCTATATTGGAAATTCTCTAATCTTTTTTGGATGCACCAAGGATTGTAAAGTTCCATAAGAAAACATCATTTTGATGTTCTTTTCAGTTATCTAAAATGTATAATTAACAGGGGTCAAGTCTCATTAAAATTATGCATCTAATTTTTAAAATAATCTTGGGAAAACTGGAAAAGTCTGAGAAAGAGAAACCAAAGTTATTTTTTTAATTAAAAAAGGTTTCTAGAAGCCAGAAAACAATGGGAACACATAATCCTACACACTGTTATAATTTAGTCTCAGAATATGGCTGAGAAACAATGTGATTATTTCCTAATGTGAAGGGCATAGTATACCAAGGGTGTACGGTACACTTGTTATTTCCACTGAACATATGTTGGGAAAGAAAAGATTACATTAAAACAGACAATATTAAAATTAAATAAATCAGAAGGATAGATTAAATAAGAGAAGAATATGTAAAATATGTTATAACCCAAATTACTACAAACCATTTATAAGCCTGATTTTATGGCCTACTTGTTTAAAGTAAGATTTAATATTAGGAAATTTCAGCACTATAAATATTCTGGACAGTTCCTAGGTGATTACTGTGATAAGATTTTGATTAATAATGATATAAAAATCTTTACACTTGCATAAGTTAAAAATAGGCAGCCCTGTATGTTAGTTATTTGAGTTTTAATCAAGGTAAGGGCTGGATTCTGGTTATTCTTGGATTTTTTTTTTAATGACAGTAAATTTGCAATCTTCAGACAATATAAAACATAATACTAAACAATATAGAAAGCTCCCTTTTAGGTTTAATAACATTTCCACATTTGGTTGAGTCATCTCCCAGCTTCTGAAGTCTGATCACAGTAGGAAATTAAGCCTGTCACTGTTCTGCAAAGAATAAAAAGAACAATACACCCAACAACATGAACGAATGTCTACATCCCAAAACTAACCCCAGTCACAATATAATTTCCCTTGCCAAAGCCCTGCAGAGCTTGGAAAGCCACATTCAAAAATACCAGCTCCATTATCCCATTAGCAGTAAGATCAGACCCTACCAAGCATTTCATGTTTCATATCCTAAAAATAACCTAAGAATGTGAAAAAGTCAATAAAAATATTTTTAAGTACACAAAATGAGCCAAAAAAATTGAGAATGCTTAATGCAAAATGAAAGTCTTTATGGAAGGGTCCTGCTTAGAGAGAAGAGGACAAACTAAAGCACCTTAAATAATCAAAGGCTACTTGTGTACAGCTGAGCAGCTGGTCTCTTGTCTTTCTAAACAAGGAACCAGAGATGTTTATGAGGAAAATATGAAGAAAAGGAGTAAAATTTTTCTCCTGGTAACTTGTGCATGTGTGTGTTTTAAGCATAACAGTATACCATATTTTGCTATTATGTTTGTCTTGTATTTATTTTGGTCTGTGTGGAGCTAAATGCATTATTAGAGGAGGAAATTTGACTATCTCAACAATAGAAAATAATTGGCTAGCTGGAGTTTCAATTCCATATGAATTCCTTTTAGACGCATTTGATGCATTTTTAAATTTCTCCTGAAAACCAAGAAGTGGACACCATTAGTTGAAGATGGTACCTATAGTGGTATTCTCTATTGAGAAAGAAACAATCTTTCTGTTCTAAACTTCTTTGGCCTTGTTTGAAACATTGCATTCTATATTGTACCTGTGGAACGTAAAGAAGATTTTAGTAAAAAGAAACTTTAATAATTAAAGAAATGGAAAACAGAATCTAGAAGGGACTATAACAGAATTAGGTAGTCTTAAGACAATATTGCCATGAAACCTGTGCCTTCAGTTATGTAAATTTGGTCCTATCGTATCCAAATATTGCAACTGTCTTCTAAGATGCCACTAGCCCTAGAATTCCTTGATGCTATAGGAATTTCACTGTTCTGTGAATGTTTCTAAGTGTAAATTTAAAACAACAAAACTCAAATGATCTCTTAAATTTAAAAATGATCAATGCCAGAGTATATAGAGAAAAAGAGTGAGGACAACAGTAAACATAAAAATAGCATCAGAGTCAGACAGAGGAGCAGGAAGGGGAGGGGAGCTTTGAGTAAATATATCTGAGAAACCTACATCTTTGCTTGTCAGAAGCTATGTGGTTTCAAGGAAGGAAGATGTTATCCTGCCATTCATCCTACCAACCCTCTCTTCAGCCTCAGGCCAGCAAAATGGACAATCCTCAGGTGACCATCACAGCTGCCCAGCACATGTCTTAATTGCTTCCTTATAAGCCAAGCCCTAGTTGACGGCTGGCTGTATGAACTGGAAATATCTCCTATCCCTAGGACTCTAGCTGTATCTGAGGTTGCTATGGTTCTTACAACACTACTTAGCTTAATGAGCCCTGGGATTCCCTAGGCTGCTGCTGTTTGAGTTCTGTTAAATTTAGTTCTTGCTAGGAAGTTGACCTTGGGACCTGCAGGCTCTGAAGCAATTAGACCTGTTGCATAACAGAACCCACTTATTTTACTTACTTTGGATTGATTTATTTGTAATTTGTCATTGATTTGTTTGTATATGCCATCCATTTTCAATGCCTCAGTCTGTATCTGAAGAAGATTCTCACTGGTTTTTATCTCAATCATGCTCCTTGAAGTAGCAGAAGCTGAAGGATAAATACCAACCTAAGGTATTTATCTCTGAGATAATTCCAGGGATAGCTTGGTATTTATCCTTTAAGGTAATATAGAGTGTCTTGATACAACACCTGATTTCTTGAAACCTCAAGCAGCTTACCTACTGGCATTTATTCATAGATCGTATCCAGAAAACACAGCTGTTGTCATTAGTAATTTAATTTTTTATAGACTGTCAGTCTAATTTTTAAATATCATAAAACATAATTCTCAAACAAATACATAATGAACACATCAAAAACTGTATTTAATTAACGAGGGATAGCAGGATAACAAAGTCCGTTCCAAAAAGAATATGAAAAGTGTGATTTTACATAATCACAGCAAAAAAATGAACACTAAAATAAAATTGTTAAATTTGATGTAATCCAGTTAATGTCTCATGACACAGATTTACCTATATAACAAACCTGCACGTGTACCTCTGAACTTAAAAGTTAAAAATATCAACATAACAAAAATATTCATATTTTTTCATACAGCTCTAAAAAGGGGCAATACGACCTTAATCTTTGGGATTATCTTTTCTACCACACTAAAAAGATACAATGCAGCAGTTTTCTATAACATCTAGCTATATGTAATTATACAATGTCTGAGATTCCATAATTCATATATAGTAAGTTAAACAAAATCACATTTGCTAGAGAGTCAGATGACCCTTAGCTGGGCTTGCTAAACAATGTTTTTTGTTTTGTTATTTTTTATTTCTGTGGGTACAGAGTAGGTGTATACATTTATAGAGTATGAGATATTTGGGTACAGGCATACAATACATAATAATCGCATCATGGTAAATGGGGTATTCGTCCCCTCAAGCATTTATCCTTTGTGTTACAAACAATCCAATTATATTCTTTTGGTTATTTTTAAATGACAATTGAATCATTATTGACTATATTCACCCTGTTGTGCTATCAAATACTAAATATTATTTATTCTTTATATCTTTTTGTACCCATAACTATCCCCATTTTTCCACATCCCACACCTCCACCATCCTTCTCAGTTTTTGGTAACCATCATTCTACTCTTTATCTGCATGATTCGATCGTTTTAATTTTCAGTTCCCACAAGTAAGTGAGAATATGGGAAGTTTGTCTATCTGTGCCTAGCTTATTTCACTTAACACAATAATCCCCATTTCCGTCCATGTTGTTGCAAATGATCTGATTTTTTTTATGGCTGAATAGTACTCTATTGTATATGTATGTGCCACATTTTCATTATTCATTCATCTATTGATGGAAACTTAGGTTGTTTCCAAATCTTGGCTATTGTGAACAAAGCTAAAACAAACATGAGAATGCAGATAACTCTTTGTTATACTGCTATTTTTTCTTTCGGGTCTACATCTAGCAATGAGGTTGCAAGATCGTAAAGTAGCTCTACATTTAGTTTTTGGGGGAATCTCCAAACTGTTTTCCATAGTGGTTGTACTAATTCACATTCCCACTGACAGAGTATGAGAGTTCCCTTTTCTCCTCTTCCTCACCAGCATTTGCTATTGCCTGTGTTTAGATAAAAGCCATTTTAAATGGGGTGAGATGATACCTCATTGTAGCTTTGAGGAACATTTCTCTGATGATCAATGGTGTTTGAGCACCTTTTTATGTATCTGTTTGCTATTTGTATTGTCTTTTGAGAAATCTCTATTCAGATCCTTTGCCCATTTTTAAATTAGATTATTAGGGTTTTTTCCTATAGAGTTGTTTCCTGGTTATTAATCCCTTGTCAGATGGGCAGTTTGCAAATATTTTCTCCCATTCTGTGGGTTTGATCTTCACATTGATTGTTTTTCCTTGGATGTGCAGCAGCTTTTTAACTGGATGTGATCCCACTTGTCCGTTTTTGCTTTGGTGACCTGTGTTTGTGGAGTGTTGCTCAAGAAATCTTTACCCAGACCAATATCTAAGAGAGTTTCCCCCAATGTTTCCTTTTAGTAGTTTAATTTTTTGAGGTCTTAGATTTAAGCCTTTAATACATTTTAATTTGATTTTTGTATATGCCAAGAGATAGGGGTCTTGTTTCATTCTTCTGCATATGGATATCCAGTTTTCCCAGCACCATTTATTGAAGAGACTGTTCTTTCCCCAATGTATGTTCTTGGCACTTTTGTAGAAAATGAGCTCACTGTTGATGTACGGATTTGCTTCTGGGTTCTCTATTCTGTTCCATTGACCTATGGGTCTGTTTTTTATGCCAGTACCATGTTGTTTTGGTTACCATAGCTTTATAGTGTAGTTTAAAGTCAGGTAATGTGATTTATCCAGTTTTGGTTTATTTGTTCAGGATAGCTCTGGGTATTCTGGGTCATTTGGTTATATCAATTTTAGGATTGTTTTTTCTATTTCTGTGAAGAATGGCATTGGTATTTTGATAGAGATTGAATCTGTAGATTGCTTTTGGTAGTATAACATTTTAACAATGACTGTTTCAGCTAATGAACATGGAATATCTTTCCGTTTCTTTGTGTCTTCTTTAGTTTCTTTCGTCAATGTTTTATAGTTTTCATTGTAGTGATTTTCACTTTTTTGGTTAATTCCTAGGTATTTAATTTTATTTGTAGCTATTGTAAATGGGATTACTTTCTTGATTTGTTTTTCAGACAGTTCACTGTTGACATATGGAGATGCTACTGACTTTTATATGTTGATTTTGTATCCTGCAACTTTACTAAATTTGTTTATCAGTTCTAATAGTGTTTTGGTGGAGTTTTTAGGTCTTTCCTAATACAAGATCACATCATCTGCAAACAAGGATAATTTGACTTCTTCCTTTCCAATTTGGATGCCTTTTATTTCTTTCTCTTGTCTGACTGCTTTAGCTAGGACTTCTAGTACTATAGTCAATGAAGTGGTAAAAGTTGGCATTCTTGTTGTGCTCCAGATATTAAAGGCTTTCAGTTTCTTTCCATTCAGCAAAATTCTATCTGTGGGTCTGTCATATATGGCTTTTATTATGTTGCAGTTTGTTCCTTCTATACCCAGTTTTTTAGAATTTTTATGATGAATGGATGTTGAACTTTATCAAATTTTTCAGCATCAGTTGAAATGATCATATGGTTATTCTCCTTCATACTGTTTATTGTTTATCATATTGATTGATTTGCACATATTGAACCATTCTTGCATCCCTGGGATAAATCCTACTGTGGGAGCTAAAAATTAAAACAATTGAACTCATGGAGATATAGAGTAGAAGGAAAGTTATCAGAAACTGAGAAAGATAGTGGTTAGGGGGATGGGAGGGCAGGTAGGGATGGTTAATGGGCACAAAAAGTAGTTAGAAAGAATGAATAAAATCTAGTATTTAATAGTACAAGAGGATGACTATTGTGTATTATAATTTAATTGTACATTTTAAAGTAACTAAAAGAGTGTAATTGAATTGTTTGTAACCCAAAAGGATAAAAATGCTTGAGGGGAATGGATACCCCATTTACCATTATGTGATTATTATGCATTACATGCCTGTATCTAAGTATCTCATGTACTCAATAAATATATGCACCTACCACATACATACCAAAGTTTAAAGTAAATTAAAAAAAAAGAAAAAGCCAGGCACGGTGGCTCACACCTGTAATCCCAGCACTTTGGGAGGCCAAGGCAGGTGGATCAACTGAGGTCAGGAGTTCAAGATCAGCCTGGCCAACATGATAAAACCCCGTCTCTACTAAAAATACAAAAAAAAAAAATAGCTGGGCATGGTGGTGGGCACCTGTAATCCCAGCCACTCGGGAGGCTGAGGCAGAAGAATCACTTGAACCCAGGAGGCGGAGGTTGCAATGAGCTGAGATGGCACCATTGCACTCCAGCTTGAGCAACAAGAGCGAAACTCTGTCAGAAAGAAAGAAGAAAGAAAGAGAGAGAGAGAGAAAGAGAGAAAGAAAGAAAGAAAGAAAGAAAGAAAGAAAGAAAGAAAGACAGAGAAAGAAAGAAAGAAAGAGAAAGAAAGAAAAGAAGGGAAGGGAAGGGAAGGGAAGGAAAAGAGAGAGAGAAAGAAAGAAAGAAAGAAAGGAAGAAAGAAAGAAAGAAAGAAAGAGAAAGAAAGAAAGAAAAGAAGGGAAGGGAAGGGAAGGAAAAGAGAGAGAGAAAGAAAGTAAGTAAGTAAAAAGAAAGGAAGGAAGGAAGGAAAGAAAAAAAGAAAAAGAAAAGAAAGAAAGAAAGAAAAGAAAAAGAAAGAAAGAAAAAAGAAAAGAAAGAAAATAAATTACAAGGCAATAACATGATCTTAGATGCAAAAATTCTCAACAAAATACTAGCAAACCGAATCCAATAACACATTAAAAAGACAGTTCACCACGCCCAAGTGGGTTTTATTCCAGGAATTCAAGGGTTATTCAGTATAAATGAATCAAAAAGTTTGATACATTACACTGATAGAATAAAAGACAAAAAGTGTATGATCATTTCAATAGATACAAAAACAGCATCTGATAAAATTTATCATTGCTTCATGATAAAAATTAAACAAATTTAGGCATAGAAGGAGCATACCTCAACATAATAAAGGCCATATATCAGAAACTCACAGTGAAAATCATACTGACGTAGGACAAACAGAAAATCCTTCTTCTAAGAACTGAAAAACGACAAGGATTCTCACTTTCACAACACCTATTTCATATAGTATTGGAAGTTTTGGCCAGAGTATCAGCAAGAGAAAGAAATAAAACGCATTGAAATTGGAAAAGAAGAAGTCAAATTGTTTCTCATGGCAGATGACATGATCTTATATAGAGAAAAACATAAAAACGTTATCAAGACAACTCTTAGAAGTGATAAGTGAATTCAGTAACGTTGCAGAATACAAAATCAGCATACAAAAATCAGCAGCACTTTTATGTGGTAATAATCAACTGTCTGAAAAGAATTCAAGATAACAATCTTATTTACAATAGCTCCAAAATAAAAAAATATAATTCTTAGGAATTAATTTAACCAAGGATGTGAAAGATACCTATAATGAAGCCATAAAACACTTATGAAAAAAATTTGAAGACAGAAATAAATGGAAAGATAATCCTGCATTCGTGGATTCAAATAATTAATATTGTTAAAATGTTCACACTACCCAAAACAAGCTATGGATTTATCAAAATAACAATGACATCCTTCAGAGAAATAGAAAAAACAATCCTAAAATACGTATGGAATCTACAAAAGACCTGGAATAGCCAAAGCAGTCTTGACCCAAAAGAACAAAGTTGGAGGCATCATACTACCTGACCTCAAAGTATACTGTAAAGCTATAGTAACCAAAACAGCATGATACTGGCATAAAATCAGATGCATAAACCAATGGAATAGAATACAGAGCCCAGAAATAAATCCACAGGTGATACACAGTCACCTAATATTTTGACGAAGCTGCCAAGCACACACAATGGGGAAAGGACAGTCTTTTCAATAAATGGTATTCGGAAAACTGGGTATCTATATGCAGAAGAACGAACTTATACCCTTACTTCATACCATATACAAAAAATCAACAAAAAATAGTTTAAACACTAAAACATGAGACCTAAAGCTGTAAAACTACACAACATTGATGTAGGCAAAAGCTAAGGCAAGAAAAACAAAAATAGACAAATGAGGTTACATCAAAATAAAAAGCTTCTGCTCAAAAGAAATAACAGAACCAAAAAATGACCTACAGAATAAGAGAAAATTTTTGCAAATTATACATGATAAGGGGTTAATATTCAAAATATATAAGGAACTCAAGCAACTCAATAGCAAAAAACAACACTACCACCAAATAATTCAATTTAAAAGTGGGCAAAAAACCTGACTAGATATTTTTTAAAATATGACGTGCAAATGACCAAAAAGCATATGAAAAAATCCTCAGCATCACTGATCATCAGGTAAATGCAGATCAAAACCACAATGAGATAGCACCTCAGCCCAGTCAGAATGTTCATGATCAGACAAAAGATGGTAATAGTCAGTAAGAATGCAGAGAAAAGGGAACGTTTATACACTGTTGGTGGTAATGTAAATTTGTATAGTCATTATGAAAAACAATATGGAGGTTCCTCAAAAAATTAAAAATATATATAGTATATGTTTGAGTATCCAGTAGGCATTCAGTAAATATCTGTGGAATAACTAAATGTCAATCAAATTTCTTGTGCTCTACATAAAATTCAACTCAAATATCTCTAATAACTCTGCAGGTACAAATATTTGATGACCAGAGAATGATTTTTCTTCAAAATAGATCTAGAGAGTATTATGGTAAAGCTAACCACTGTAGCTAAAATGACAATCCCTTTTACTACTTAATTATTCCTCAGGAAGTTTTGACAATACATGAACACGAAAGAAGAAAGAAAAGATAAGATCTGCTTCTACATTTTCACTATTCTTTAGGGGACAGTAAGAACTGGCTTTTGATTGTGAAAATTCAAAATGTTATCCTCTTTTAAACAAACACTATCAAAATATCCCAAGAGAGACAGAGCTCCAAGTCCCAAAAGGCTATAGTGCAAGTAAATAGATATATATAATACACTCACTTGAGCTTGCATTTTGACCATTAATATATGCTTTGAAGGTGGGGAAAATCTTTTAGGGTTTACTTTTTGCAACCCATGAGAGATAACAAACAGGATCATGCAATTTCTTGGAAGTTCTTCACATGTCTTTGGCTCTGGGGAATAATATTTTGTCTCCTGTCCCTGACCTTCTCAGCATTCACTCAAAGAGCGAATGGGAAGTATATAACATGTGAGTCACCCAGTTTTTTTTGCAAAAATCATAGAAAATGTTTTCTTCTTGTCTTTGAGAAAACTAAAAATATATCTCAGAATGAAAAGCTGGCAAAGAATGAAGCTGAAAAATATAAGTTTTTCTTCTTGTTTCCCTGAAATCTGGAAAATATTTTCCAATTATGGTTCATATCCCTTTAAAATATGAATAGCCATTTATACAAAAAGAATAGTATTTCAAGTGAAGATGTATATTAACTGATGAATTGCTGGAGAAGGGTATATTTTGGCAATTTTTGTTACTTGGTGAGCAGAAGAAATATGGCATATTTCTCTTTCCAGCAATATTTTCTTTCTTAAGCCCAAATACTGATTTTTCAGTTCCATTACATTAATAAGACTTGGTATTATACAAATTAGTTATTATTTAAGAAACAAAAATCTTCAGCTCATATGACTTTTTCTTGTTTTTGTTGTTATTTGGGCTAGAAGTTAACCGGAGGGTAATCAGGCGAAAAGTTTTATGTTTCGGATTTGCCTAGATAGGAAAGGCCTCAGAAAACAACCACAGTGAGATGCAAAATAACACCAAAGGTCAAAGGAAGAAAAGGAACATGTGGAAGAAAGCAGTGAATAAAAAACATGGAAACTTTTGTAATATAAACTTTATCTGCCTTTCTTATTTTCCTGCAGCTGACTTGACCATGGTTAACAAAAAACAAGCACATTGAACTTGGCCACAGTCACGCAGACCAGCTGTTCTCCCTAAGGTCAATGTCATAATAGGCATATGAAGTTCTTACATTCACCTGGAAGCATATAAAAATATTTAGTCAGAGCAATTTAAGAGCCAAAGTATGGCACGCTTCCTCACAGCATATAGCGTATCCAGCTGCCTAAAAATGAAAGAATGTATTTTTTATGCTAAACATTGGTACAGATACATGAAACAGCATAAAAGACCATATATTCTCTAATGACAGAGTTCTTTCTTATTACCACTTTAAAACACTACAAGTAACCGGGAGTAGCTGAAATTGAAAGTAAATATTAATTTGTGCCCTGGCATGGCACTATATTGAGAAAGAGTATTTTTAAATATCTTGGTTTTGTATTTTATTTTTATACCACTAATAATAATGAATCAGGTATTCATAGTACTGTTGAAAGAACTACATACCCAGATAAATACAGTATCAATAATGCAGGTAAACAGAAGAAAGAGTAGACCCATTGTATATAGGTAATTTATTGGAATCACAAAATTTGCATTCCTGGTTTCAAGTCTAGTGTTCTTAGCAAGAAAAAAAACTCTCCACAATTCATATTTTCCCTTCTATTGTTGTGATTTATTAAAATAAACATGTGTAGGAATTGAGTCATGAAAGTCACAGTTTTGTTGTTTAAACAAAAGTCTAATTGTTTACTACTTTATAATATACATGATGAAGAATTTTGGTTGTTTCCAAGAAGAAACAGCACACTCCCTTTCATGTTTCAGTTACCTCTGCCATCTCCATGTCTTCCAGACTAATGAATGTGTTCAGCATGGAAACTATCAATTTTGTTAGCTGCCTTATCCTCATGGGCTTTCCCTCAAGCCCAGAAATGCAGCTCCTCTACTTCGGTCTCTTCTCAGTAGCCTATACTCTCACCCCGATGGGAAATGCAGCCATTGTCTGTGCTGTGTGGTAGGACCAGCACCTTCACACTCCCATGTACACCCTCTTGGGAAATTTCTCTCTCCTGGAAATATGTTATGTTACTGCAACTAAACTGCTGGCCAACTTCCTCTCCACAAGCAAGTCCATCTCATTCATGAGTTGTTTTGCACAGTTCTACTTCTTCTCTTTGGGGTATGATGAGGGCTTCTTCCTTTGCATCACGGCCTTTGACAGGTATCTTGCCATCTGCCGCCCTCTACGTTATCCATGCATCATGACTAAACAAGTATGCACTGGCCTCATCATTTTTGCATGGTCATGTGTCTTTGTAATCTTCCTAACTCTGGTGATTCTCATTTCACAGCTATCCTACTGTGGCCCAAATATTATCAACCATTTTATTTGTGATCCCGTCCCATTGAAGATGCTGTCCTGTTCTGAAGACATCATCATCACCCAGCTCATTTACTCCACATTCAATTCTGTCTTCATAATTGGCACCTTTCTCTTTATCCTTTGTTCCTATGCTCTGGTGATTCTGGCTATAATACGGATGCCTTCAGAGGCTGGCAAACGAAAAGCTTTCTCCACTTGTGCCTCTCATTTGGCAGTTGTCACCTTATTTTATGGCTCTATCATGGTGATGTATGTTAGTCCTGGATCAGCACACCCAGTAAAAATGAAAAAATCATTACCTTGTTCTTTTCTGTGATAACACCACTCTGTAATCCTCTAATATATAGTCTCAGGAACAAAGAGATGAAAGATTATCTGAGGAAAATCTTCAGGACTGGAAAAGATGTTAATAAAATATAAATAAGAGAATTTTCATTTATCAAATGTAACTTTATTATACATGAATATTTGTCTACAAATTTATTGTTTTATTTAAGAACTGCTATAATAATGAGCCATTAACATCTTAAACACCACTCACCACAATCTGCATTACTGTGGTCTTATTTAAGAATGTTTCAACAGTGAATTAGATTTTCTGTTGAAGTGAATAATACGTATGTAAAATTCTATGTCTATGCTAATCAGAACGTGTATATGTAACCCAACTTTTTAAAAAGAATGCAGACGTCCTTTTTGTATTACTGAGCTAAAGCAATTGGTAACACATGTGACAGATATCATAGACTGCTCTCACAATTAACACTATAATCCAATCATTATCCACTAAGAGATACTGGCTGAAAAAGAGCCAAGTTTTAAGTAGTCCAGCTTGTCAAAATGTAGCAAGTGGTCTTTACATTATATAAATAGACTAATAGCCTTAGTTTGATATTCAGTGTTTTTTCAGAGAGTACACAACCAAGAATTAGGAATTTAAAGCAGATTCGTTACCTGGAATATAGTGCAGCAAAGACCTAAACAAAAAGGTGAGCATTACTCAGGATATAGCTTTCTTTGTTGTAAACCCAGTTTAAACACAGGATTTGATACCATAACTAATTTAGTATTAATACTGTGTGACTTATTTGAGTACTGCTGGACAGTACTAAAATAAAACTCTTAAAATCCATTTTATAAAATATTTGACTAATATCTTGCTTTAATTTTGACTTTTGTTTCGTTCTATGCCATTTTTTCAAATACAACTCTCAAAAACTTAATGAAAAGGAATCACAATATGAAATGTAGTTTACAGAATTTTAATTTGTAAGCCATCATAGCTATTTGCTCCACAAAATGAGGTGCAACTGCAATTAGTTTTTGTGTCACAAGGAAGCTGAGTTGAGAATATTTTCTGGGTTTGAAAGGCAGGATTTATATGAGTTCTGGGGAAAAGAGTGGTTGTTTTATTATACCTCACATGTGAAATGTAAATTAAATAGCTAAATACTTGCCTGAAAACCTCTTTTATATAGGAAGAAAATACAAACAATTTAGAACTTCATTCAAACTGACTTCAACGGTGGGATCTCTTTAAAGTGCTGATAAATTTAACACTGAGTTTCACCTGTCCATGCCAGTTTTGTTTATATTTCTTAATTATATGAGAAAAAATGATAGAAATTCTTAATAAAATATAATCTCAACTGTTATAAATGTGCACAGTGCCCATATTTGTAATTATCTTCAAATTGATCATTAACCAATCTTATCTTACCAATATTAAATTCTATCTCATATTGAGCTTGCTGGCACTTGATAGAATGAATTGAAAACTATTAGATACAGTAAAAAGCATTTCCATAAGATACAAACATGCCTTCATTGTGACAATATCTCTTCCTCAGTTCATACCTATGGCTTCATGGTATTTCACACAACCAGCTAATAAATGAAGAAAGAGCCTCAGGCTTGGATCACAAATGGATTGTCTGAATCTACACTTAGACAAGATAAAAACTGACTAATGCTGCAGCTTAACGCCTCTCCAGAGTAGCCATAGAATGTAGTGGTGGAGGAAATCCTCGTAAGCCAATGATTCGGTAGCAATATACTTAGTTGTCCACTTTGAATGTTGGGAGAAATAGCTTGCTATGCAAGATAAGGATATGTGTAGTATAATGATTGTTGTAAAAAAGTTTCACTAAGCAAACCCCCTCAAAATACAGAAAAATCAGATTTAATGAAATTTGAGGTGGAGGCCTATGTATGGGCCTATGAGAATAAGCACAAAGTATGCAGATCTTTGTTTCTCAACTCTGTGCCCATTAGAGAGTATCCTCCAGAGTGGAGGCACTCAATAGCTAAGTGAAAAGAATGAGTCATCTAAAAATGTCAGTCAGCTCTGATTTCATTCACCTCAGAGCTTATAAAAGGGAATATAAAGAAAGCTGTATAAATGGAAAATATGCACGTGCCAAAAAATACAGGCATTATCTTACCAAGGTTGGTGACAAATCACTGAGCCACTGAAGATGCAGCCTCGATGAGAAACCAATGTTAAGCCCTCAATATGGCACCAATCTTTGAGAAAACCAGCCAGCAATGGGTGGCAAATTGATTACATCAAATTCCTTTTACTTTGGAGGGTGCCAAGTGACATGAAAGAGTATAGTCAACCTCTACTTCTTCATTTCATATTCACTCCCCAACCCCCTGTGATCTTGCTTTCTATCTCCTCTGCTCAACTAAAACTTCTTTTCATCATGTTTCTGTAGAGGATTAACAATAATCATCATATGGGTATTTTATCTTAGGTACAAGAAAGTATAGTAACTCAAATAGATTTTCCAATCTACCATTATTTTCATTAGTCAACATTATCTTAGCCAGAGAAGATGTGAACTCTACATTTTGTAATTCTACATTGTTTGAGTTTGAAAACCTTTGCTATAGCCTGGGAATAAGTTGTTTTTGGATCAGTTGCAGCCTCTTATGAACAAGATTAAAGATGAAAAAGTTGAAAAATGTGTATTACCCTATAATTGCAACTCAAAATCTAGCTTATTTTTCATGTTTCACATGAAAACAGATGTTTAACCTAGTAGTTCTCAACTTTAATATCCATATCAATCACCATCACGTATGGATCTTTTCAAAATGCAGATTCTCTGTGACATCAGGAAGATTGAAGAATAGGAGGTCCCAGTTTTCCCTACCCTTCATAGAATGTTCAATTAACAACTGTACACAGACAAAAACTCCTATGTGAACACTTCAAAACTCAAGATTAAGCCTGAGAAACCTGTGTGAACTAAATAACCAAACAAAATGCCACATGAGAAGTGTAAAAAGAATAGCCTCACTCTGACCACATCACCTCTCCCTTTCTCCCAAGTCAGCACAACACCACTTAGAATTTTTCTAGGCCCACAGTTTCTACAGTAGGAAAAGAGAACTAGAGGTGGACATTCACGTTCCCTGTGTTCCAAGATACCTCCCCCAGGAAGCCAACTCTGGTCTCACCTTGCAAGGAGCATAGGGGTAATAGCATGGCTAGACTACCTGTGGTCAGGTAGAAACAAAGCAGGAAGGCAAAGCTCATAGTGACAAACATGCAGATCTTGGTGGTAGGTCTATGTAACCACCAGCAGTGGTATGTGATTAGGGGCATTAGCGAACAGTATAACAAACCAACAAAGTCAAGCTGGTTGCCCCGGGAAATAGGAAGTTCTACCTGGCTTGAATCCCTAGACAATCAGCCTCCATGCCAGCCCCAGATCCTACCACAAAGCCTTGTCCAGAGGGGGAGATGACCACAGCATATTTTGGTAAAGTACAAGGGCTAGACCTGCCCCACTCAGAAGCCCAAACAGTGGTTTGGCTTAGTCTCAAAACCCACAACAGGGACCCAGCCAGGCAGGGAGATGCATACCACAGCCCATTATTAGCACAGTGTAGGGTCTAGAAATGCCTTACCTGGGGACTCTAACAGTGGTTCAACTCAGCCTCAAAATCATCCCCAAAGCCCACTCAGAGATGGAGATACTTGCCGCAGTGCATTTTGGCAAAGTGAAAGGGCTATATGCACCCCAACAAGGAATCCAAACAGTGGTTTGGCTCAAATCTCAAAGCCCACCCCAAGGTCCTACCCAGTCAGGAAGGCAAACATCAAATGTGCATTCCCACCAAGTGTAGTAGCTGTTCTCTCCATCCTGAGCAGTGTCCCCACTTAACTTTATGAGTAAGCCTGCAACCCCATACAACTCCAGAACTCAAATAGTGGTACCATCCAGCCAGGAAATACATCCTGTGGCCCGGCCCAGTCAGAGACAATCACCATCCGAGCAAGCAATTTTGTCTGATTGCATAGCTCATTTAGTGGTCATACCAAAAATCAGAGCCCAGCCAGTAGTCCCAACTGAACTCAGAGCAAAGACAAAAGCTGAGCCATCCGGAGAACCTGAAAGCAGAAAGCAAGCTCTACCTTCCCAGGGTTGGTACCAGTTGGCCAATCTAGAATGAAAGGCTAGACTAAATAATGAAAGTCTATCCCTGCCAACTAATACCTATAAAAAGAGGTAGCTACCTCCTCAAATGAACAGACAGCAGTGCAAGAACAAAAGGATTGTGAAGAATCGAGGAATGATGACACCTCCAAAATAAACTAATAAAACTCTTAACAATGGACCCTAAAGGAACGGAGATTTGCAAAATGACTGACAAAGAATTCTAAAAAGTCCAGGAGCTGGTTTTTTGAAAGGATCAACAAAATTGATAGACTGCTAGCAAGACCAATAAAGAAAAAAAGAGAGAAGAATCAAATAGACGCAATAAAAAATGATAAAGGGGATATCACCACCGATCCCACAGAAATACAAACTACCATCAGAGATTACTACAAACACCTCTATGCAAATAAACTAGAAAATCTAGAAGAAATGGATAAATTCCTCGACACATACACTCTCCCAAGACTAAAACAGGAAGAAGTTGAATCTTTGAATAGACCAATAACAGGAGCTGAAATTGTGGCAATAAGCAATAGCTTACCAACCAAAAAGAGTCCAGGACCAGATGGATTCACAGCCGAATTCTACCAGAGGTACAAGGAGGAACTGGTACCATTCCTACTGAAACTATTCCAATCAATAGAAAAAGAGGGAATCCTCCCTAACTCATTTTATGAGGCCAGCATCATCCTGATACCAAAGCCAGGCAGAGACACAACCAAAAAAGAGAATTTTAGACCAATATCCTTGATGAACATTGATGCAAAAATCCTCAATAAAATACTGGCAAACCGAATCCAGCAGCACATCAAAAAGCTTATCCACCATGATCAAGTGGGCTTCATCCCTGGGATGCAAGGCTGGTTCAGTATACGCAAATCAATAAATGTAATCCAGCATATAAACAGAACCAAAGACAAAAACCACATGATTATCTCAACAGATGCAGAAAAGGCCTTTGACAAAATTCAACAACCTTCATGCTAAAAACTCTCAATAAATTAGGTATTGATGGGACGTATCTCAAAATAGTAAGAGCTATCTATGACAAGCCCACAGCCAATATCATACTGAATGGGCAAAAACTGGAAGCATTCCCTTTGACAACTGGCACAAGACAGGGATGCCCTGTCTCACCACTCCTATTCAACATAGTGTTGGAAGTTCTGGCCAGGGCAATTAGGCAGGAGAAGGAAATAAAGGGTATTCAATTAGGAAAAGAGGAAGTCAAATTGTCCCTGCTTGCAGACGACATGATTGTATATCTAGAAAACCCCATTGTCTCAGCCCAAAATCTCCTTAAGCTGACAAGCAACTTCAGCAAAGTCTCAGGAAACAAAATGAATGTACAAAAATCACAAGCATTCTTATACACCAATAACAGACAGAGAGCCAAATCATGAGTGAACTCCCATTCACAATTGCTTCAAAGAGAATAAAATACCTAGGAATCCACCTACAAGGGACATGAAGGACCTCTTCAAGGAGAACTACAAATCACTGCTCAATGAAATAAAGAGGATACAAACAAATGGAATAACATTCCATGCTCATGGGTAGGAAGAATCAATATTGTGAAAATGGCCATACTGCCCAAGGTAATTTATAGATTCAATGCTATCCCCATCAAGCTACCAATGACTTTCTTCACAGAATTGGAAAAAACTACTTTAAAGTTCATATGTAACCAAGAAGAGCCCGCATCGCCAAGTCGATCCTAAGCCAAAAGAACAAAGCTGGAGGCATCACACTACCTGACTTCAAACTATACTACAAGGCTACAGTAACCAAAACAGCATGGTACTGGTACCAAAACAGAGATATAGATCAATGGAACAGAACAGAGCCCTCAGAAATAATGCCGCATATCTACAACTATCTGATCTTTGACAAACCTGACAAAAACAAGCAATGGGGAAAGGATTCCCTATTTAATAAATGGTGCTGGGAAAACTGGCTAGCCATATGTAAAAAGCTGAAACTGGATCCCTTCCTTACACCTTATACAAAAATCAATTCAAGATGGATTAAAGACTTACATGTTAGACCTAAAACCATAAAAACCCTAGAAGAAAACCTAGGCATTACCATTCAGGACATAGGCATGGGCAAGGACTTCATGTCTAAAACACCAAAAGCAATGGCAACAAAAGCCAAAATTGACAAATGGGATCTAATTAAACTAAAGAGCTTCTGCTCAGCAAAAGAAACTACCATCAGAGTCAACAGGCTACCCACAAAATGGGAGAAAATTTTCGCAACCTACTCATCTGACAAAGGGCTAATATCCAGAATCTACAATGAACTCAAACAAATTTACAAGAAAAAAACAAACAACCCCATCGAAATTGGGCAAAGGACATGAACAGACACTTCTCAAAAGAAGACATTTATGCAGCCAAAAAACACATGAAAAAATGCTCACCATCACTGGCCATCAGAGAAATGCAAATCAAAACCACAATGAGATATCATCTCACACCAGTTAGAATGGCGATCATTAAAAAGTCAGGAAACAACAGGTGCTGGAGAGGATGTGGAGAAACGAACACTTTTACACTGTTGGTGGGACTGTAAACTAGTTCAACCATTGTGGAAGTCAGTGTGGCGATTCCTCAGGGATCTAGAACTAGAAATACCATTTGACCCAGCCATCCCATTACTGGGTATATACCCAAAGGACTATAAATCATGTTACTATAAAGACACATGCACAAGTACGTTTATTGCGGCACTATTCACAATAGCAAAGACTTGGAACCAACCCAAATGTCCAACAATGATAGACTGGATTAAGAAAATGTGGCACATATACACCATGGAATACTATGCAGCCATAAAAAATGATGAGTTCATGTCCTTTGTAGGGACATGGATGAAATTGGAAACCATCATTCTCAGTAAACTATCACAAGAACAAAACACCAAACAGCACATATTCTCACTCATAGGTGGGAACTGAACAATGAGAACATATGGACACAGGAAGGGAACATCACACTCTAGGTACTGTCGTGGGGTGGGGGGAGGGGGGAGGGACAGCACTGGGAGATATACCTAATGCTAGATGACGAGTTAGTGGGTGCAGCGCACCAGCATGGCACATGTACACATATGTAACTAACCTGCACATTGTGCACATGTACTCTAAAACTTAAAGTATAATAAAAAAAATTTAGTGAACTACAATAATATAAGGGTAGATAATTTAAAAAATTGAAAAATAATAAACAATATAACATGTTTGACAAATAGGAATAATAAAAATATAGAAATCTTAAAGAATAAAATGACTGAAATGAAAATGCAATAGAAAGCTCTAAGAACAGGCTCAATCAAGCAGAAGGGAAACAATCAATAAGCTAGAGACAAAACATTTAAAATAATTCAGTCAGAAGAGAAAAAATTAAAAAGATTGAAAAAGAATAAAGACAGACTCTGGATATGAAGGGAAACTATTAAGACCTAATATTCATCTAATAGGAGTTTTCAGAAAGAAAAGAAATAGAAAAGAGACCAGAAAGCATATCTGAAGAAGAAATTCTAAAAAACTACCAAATCTGGAGAAAGTTGCTAACATCTAAACACAGCAAATGCAGAGTTATCCAAACAAGTTTAAGCCAAATAGGAGTTATCCAAGATGTACAATAATTCAAATACCAAAAATTAAAGAAAAGGAAAACATTTTGAAAACAGCAAGTAATTAGAAGCATATCACATAGAAGGGAATATCAAAATAGCTGTCACTGGATTTCTCAACAAAATCTCAGGAGACCAGGAGAGAGTAGGATAATGTATTCAAAGTGCTGAAGGGAAAAAACAAGGCCAACAAGTCTACTTAACCCAGCAAAGTTGTCCTTGGCAAATGAGAGAAAAGCAAAAACTTTTCCAGACAAACAAAAGCTATGAGAGTTCATCACCACTAAATATGTCTTAAGAGAATTACTAAAGGAAGTTCTTTGAGCTGAATTAAAAGGCTGCTAATTAAAAATATAAAACATATGAGAACACAAATGCAATGGGATAAGAAATACAAAGTCATATCCAGAATATTCTAAGACTGTAATGATGATGTGTAAAGCAATTTTTTCCTATAGTACAATGGTTAAAAGACAAATCTATTAAAACACATAGAGCAAAAATAGTCAATGGATACACATAAGAAAATGATGTATATTTTGACATCAAAATCGTAAAATGTGGGAGAGGAGAAATAAAGTGTACGGCTGTTGTTGGCAAATAAAGCATACAGTTGTGATTGTTGTCAGCTTAGAATAGTATATCATATAAAAATAAAGACTAAAAACATCACCCAACACTACACAACTACATGGAAATTAAGTGACTTGCTCCTGAATGACTTCTGGGTGAACAATGAAATTAAGGCAGAAATCAAAAAAGTCTTTGAAATAACTGAAAACAGAGACACTATATGCCAAGATCTCTGGGATGCAGCAAAAGCAGTGTTAAGAGAAAAGTTTATAGCACCAAACAATTACCGCAGAAAGTTAGATATACCTCAAATTAATGACCTAGCATCCAACAGAATAGCTAGAAAAGCTAAAACAAAGCTAGCAGAAAAAAAAATAACTAAAACCAGAGCAGACCTGATTGAAATACACCAGAAAATTAATACCAAGAATCAATGAAACCAAAAGTTGATTCCTTAAAAGGATAAACAAGATTGATGGGCTGCCAGCTACAGTAACAGAGAGAGAGCGAGAGCAAGAGGAAGAGAGAGAGAAGATTCAAATAATCACATTAAGAAATGACAAAGGTGACATTACAGATGATCCGATAAATACAGAATATCCTCCAAGACTATTAGGAACACCTCTATGAACACAAACTACTAAATCTAGAGGAAATTGATCAATTTCTGGAAACAACCTCCCAAGATTGAATCTGGGAGAAATTAAAACCCTAAAAGACCAATATTAAGGTCCAAAATAGAAGCAGCAATAAAAATCTACCAACCAAAAAAGTCCTAGACCAGATGGTTTCACAGCCAAATTCTACCATGCATACAAAGAAGAGCTAGTATCAACTCTACTTAAACTATTCCCAAAAATGAGGAGAATGGACTCCCCCCTAACTCATTCTATGAAGCCAGCATCTCTTTGATACCAAAACCTGGCAAGTGAAAGTTTATAGCTACAAGTGCCTACACCAAAAAAGTAGAAAAATTTCAAATAACCTAGTGATGTATCTTTAAAAACTAAAAAAGCAAAAGCAAACAAACCCAAATTATTAGAAGAAAATAAATAATAAAGATCAGAGTAGTAATAAATGAAATGGAAACAAAGCATACAATACAGAAGATCAACAAAGTGAAAAGTTTGTTTTTTGAAAAGATGAACAAAATCAACAAAACTTTACCTAAGAGAAAAAGTGAAAAGACCCAAATAAATAAAATTAAGACATAAAACCAATACTGCAGAAATTAAAAGGATCACTTGCAACCATATGCCAATAAACCGGAAAATCCAGATAAAATAGATAAGTTCTTAGATACATACAACCTATGAGGTTTGAGCCATGAAGAAATCCAAAACCTGAACAAACCAATAACAAGTAATGAGATCAAAGCCCTAATAAAAAGTCTCCCAGCGAAGAAAATCCCAGGACATGGTGGCTTCTCTGCTGAATTTTACCAAATATTATAGAGGAATTAATACCAACACTATTCAAACTATTCCAAAAAATATAGGAACACAGAATACATCCAAATTCATTCTATTAGGCCAGTATTACTCTGATATAAAACCAGAAAGAGACATATCAACAAAAGAAAACTACAGACCAATATCCCTGATGAACACTGCTGCAAAAATCCTCAACAAAATACTAACAAACTAAATCCAACAGCACATTAAAAATTTAATTCACCATGATCGATTGAGTTTTATTCTAGAAATGCTAGGATGATTCAACATATGCAAATCAATAAATGTGATTCATCACATAAAGTTAAAAACAAAAACCATAGGATCATTTCAATTGATGTTGAAAAGAATCATAAAATAGGAGAAAATATTTGTAAACTATCCATCTGGCAAGGGATTAATAACCAGAATATATAAGGAACTCAAACAACTCTATAGGAAAATTCTGATCATCCAATTTAAAAATGGGCAAAAGATCTTGCTCAGAAGAAGACACATAAATGGCAAACAGGCATGTGAAAAAGTGCTCAGCATCATTGCTCATCAGGGAAATGCAAACCAAAACTGCAAGACGAATCATCTAACCCTAGTTAAAATGGCTTATATCCAAAAGACAGGCAGTAAGAAATAGTGGCTAGGATATGGAGAAAAGGGAACCCACTATTGGTGGGAATGTAAATTAGTACAATCACTATGGAGAACAGTTTGGAGGTTTCTCAAAAAAAACAAAAATAGAGCTACCATATGACCCAGCAATGCCATTGGTAGGTATATACACAAAAGAAAGGAAATCAGGATATCTGAGAGATACCTGCACTCCCATGCATATTGCAGCACTATTCACAATAGTCATGATTGGAAGCAACCTGTTTGTCCATGAACAGATGAATAAAGAAAATGTGGTTAATGTACACAATCGAGTAATATACAGCCATGAAAAAGAATGAGATCCTGTTATTTGCAACAACATGGATAGAACTGGAGGTTATTACGTTAAATAAAATAAGCCAGGGACAGAAAGACAAATTTTCCATGTTCTCACTTATTTGTGGGAGCTAAAACTTAAAATAACTGGATTTATGGAGATAGAGAATACAGTAATGGTTACCAGAGACTAGGAAGAATAGTAGGGTTAAGGGGAGGAATGGATAATCGGCATAAAAATACAGTTAGATAGAATAAGTAAGATCTAGTATTTGATAGAACAACAAGGTGACTATAGCCAAACAATTTATAGTACATTTAAAAATAACTAAAAGAGCATAATTGCATTGTTTGTAACACAAAGAAAGGGTAAATGTTTGAAGTGATGAATATCCCATTTACCGCGATGTAATTATTATACACCGTATGCCTGTAGAAAAATATCTCATGTACCCCATAAACATATACAGTCACTGTGTACCCATAAAAATTTAAAAAGGAAAATATAAAATAAACAACCTGATATTACAACTCTAGTAACTAATAAAAAAAGAACAAACTAAACCCAAAGTCAGCAGAAGGAAAGAAATAACAAGGATCTGAATAGAAATAAACAAAATAGAGACTAAAACTACAATAGAAAAGAACTCAATGTAATAAAGAGTGTTTTTTCAGAAGGATAAACAAATCAACAAACCTTTAGCCAGACCAAGGAAAAAAAAGAAAGGACTCAAATATTAATACAATCAAAAGTGAAAAGGGAGACATTACAACTGATACCATAGAAATATAAAAGCTCATAAGAAAAAAAAGCTCATAAGAGAGTACTATGAAAAATTGTACAGTAACAAATTGAATAAAGTATAAGAAATAAATAAATTCCAAGATACATGCAAGATACCAAGACTGAATCATGAAGAAAAAGTATGAACAGACCAAAAATGAGTAAGAAGATTGAATTGTAATAAAGTCTCCCATCAAAGAGAAGCCCAGAATAGCTTTACTGTTGTATTCTACCAAACACTGAAATAATTAGCAATCCTTAAACTCTTCCAAAAAAAATCTAAGAGGAAGGAATACTTCACTTCCAAACTTTTTTTACGTGGCCAACATTACTCTGACACCAAGGCCAGACAAGAACAAGAAAAAGAAAAGAAAAGAAAAGAAAAATTATAGGCCAATATCCCTGATGAACATAGATGAAAGAATCCTCAATCAAATACTAGCACACTGAATTCAACAGCACGTTAAAAAGGTAACTTACCATGCTCAAGTGGATTTACCCCAAGGATACAAGGTGGATCAACATACATACATCTATAAATGTGATATACATTAACAAAATGAAGCCCAAAATTATATAATCATCTAATTAGATGCAGAAATAGCATTTGAAAAATTCAACATTGTTTCATGAAAAGATTCTCAACAGAGTTGGTTTAGAAGAAATATACTTCAACATAATAAAGACCATGTATTACAAGCCTACAGCTCACATTATATTCAACGCACCCTCCAAATCTCAGGCTGAATTGTGATCCCCAGTGTCAGAGGGGGTGCCTGGTGGGAGGTGTCTGTGTTATGGAGGTGAATCCCTCATGGGATGGTGATGGTATCCAACCCAACCCTCAGGAATGGGTTTGCATTTTACCCATAGTAGAGTTACCATCAGATCTGATGGTTAAAAAGAGTATGGGACAACCCCCTCCCCACCTAGCTCCCTTTCTTGCCATGTGACACAACTGCTCCCTCTTTGCTTTCTTCAATGAGTAGAAGTTTCCTTAGGCTTCAGAAGCTAAGCAGATGCTGATGCCATGCTTGTACTGACTGCAGGACCATGAGCCAAATAAACCTCTTTTCTTTATAAATTACTCAGTCTCAGGTATTCCTTTATAGCAACGTAAAATGGACTAACACAAATGTTATTGGTGATTTATGCAATGGCCATTTTAAGGGTGTGGTGGGGGGAAGCCATATTTAAATATATTGGAGGTGAGAAAGACATGAGGAAAAGATGAAGATTCCTTACTGTCTCTCAAGTATGGCAGGCATGCTCCTGCCTTGTGGTCCCTATACATGTCATCTCCTTTGCCTGGAATGCTCTTTTCCCAGATATTTATATTTCTTTCCCTAACACTCCCTTCAAATCTTTGACCAAATATCACCTTTTCGGTGAGGCCTTTCCTGACTAGCTATTGAAAATTCCACTCAGGGGAATTGAGAGATATTGGTCAAAAGGTACAATGTTTCAGCTAAACAGAATGAATAAGTTTTGGAGATCTACTGTACAGCATAGTGACTGTAGTTAACAGTCATGTGTTATACCATTGTCCCTAAATATCTGCAATATCAGGGGGGCGATTCGTTCCAGGACTCCCCAAGGACACCAAAATCCTGGGATGTTCAAGTCCCTTATATAAAATGATATCATTTTATATTTGCATGTAACCTACGCATATTTTTCCATACACTTTAAATCATCTATAGATTACTTATAATACTAATAAAATATAAATGTTTTATAAGTAGTTGTTATACTGCATTTTTTTATTTTTATTGCTTTTACTGTATTTTTTGTGGGTTTTTTGTACTAATAGTTTCTATCCAGTTGGTTGAATGCCTGAATGTGGAACTCATGGAAACATAGGGCCAAAAGTATACTTGAAATTTTTAGAAGAGATTTTAAATGTTCTCACACAATAAAATGAAAGTATGTAGAAGTGATAAATGTTAATTAGTTTGAATTAATCATTTCACCATGTATACATATCAAAAAATCATCTTGTATGCCACAAATGCATAGTTTTTTAATAAAAAATATCCAATCACCTATTATAAGGCAAGCGCATATTGAACAAGTGCCAAGTGAGCCTCATATACTGGATAATGATTCCATGGAAAGTAGCCTTGCTTAACTGGGAAAAGACCCAAGTGACAGAGTAGCTCCCTATGGAAAATCGTAACTGGTTTAAATGACAGCTTAAACTCCAGAATGTCTCACCAAACAGTCAAATGCTAGTTCTGTGAATTGTTTTTTCTTCTCATGTGAATCTATATACTGTTTTTGTCAATTACATCTTAGTAAGGCTGGGGGTAAAATGCACCTCTGCCAGCTCCCACACACACTCCCTATTGACCTGACGTTTCTAATTTTTCTCCACGTTTCCTCATCACTCCCTAATATACTATAGTTTACTTATTTATTTAACACCTGTTGTCTCCCTTTGGAATATAAGTTCCACATAGGAATTTTTGTACATTTTGTTCACTGCTATGTGCATGAGCATTTAGAGTAGTCCCTGGAACATTCACAATCAATTATTATTATTGAATTAACTAATCAGTTTTTAATATTAAAATATAAATATAAATAATATAAACATGTATAGTAAATTTTACACTTAATTACAAACATTATGAATATAAGTGTGATGAAAGGAAAAATTTTAAATGTTAAATGGTTATGTTGTATTCTCATGCATATGTATGTTTTCTCAAATTTTTCTATAATAAACTTGTAGTTACTCTTGTAAAATATCAAAAGTGAGCATTTGTTAAAATAAACTCATGTAAATAAATTTCATGCTTTCTGAAATGGCCATTTCAGAGATGTAGCGTAGGTGAAGAAGAGATGAGGACTCCCTGCCGTCTCAATCATGCCAGGCGTGCTCCTGCTTCGTGGCACCTACACATGCCATCTCCTCTGCCTGGAACCCTCTTTCCCCAGATGTTTATATTTGTTGCCTCCACACTTCCTTCAAGTCTTTATCCAAATATCACCTTTATGAGATTTCTGAATTTTTTATTCATCTATAACATACAAAAAGTACAGTGCACAAATCCTAAGTATATTGCTCAATGAATTGTTATCAACTGATACTCCTGTGTAAAGGTACCTAGTTCCAGAAACTGAATGTTATCAGCATCCCAAAATCCCAACCTTTTCATTGAGGCTTTCCCTAACTACCTATTGAAAATTGTGCCCAGGGGATATGGGGAGACATTTGTCAAAGGGTACAATGTTTCAGCTAAAAGGGATGAATAAGTTCTGGATATCTACTGTACACCATTAACCTTAAGAGAGATCTCAAAAAGGAAAAGAACTCACAAAAAAAAATTGCTGTAAAGGATACACATGAAAGGCACAGAAGGGAAGTGGAGGGAGTGCAGAGAACTGTGGGCTGAGTCTGAGCCTCAAGGCTTTTTCAGCATAAAATGCCACAAAGACTGTTGATAAGCAAGCCTGTCCCCCATTTACTAAACTTAGGCAATTAAAATTTTATCACTACCCAATGTATCAAAATTTTATCACTACCCAACACTGATTTAAGGACTCAACACTCTGACTTGAGAAAACCTGAAGTACAAAAAGTTACCACAAAGGTGGGTGAGACTCTCTAAGGAGCTCAAATATATGTCTTCAATGTGTTCTAATTGCAAATTACTTACAATTTGGCACAACATATTGGGAGAGGAGTAGTGGAGTGGTAAAAATCAAACCTAACTTCAAAATATTGTAAATTATGGCTCTAAGATCATTCTTAATGACCCAATATGTGCAGTGAGGCTCTTCTCTTCCTCCTCCATGTTACAGTTGAGAACACGAAAGACTAAGCCATTCACATTACCCCAGGGAAGGCAGAGGGAAAGGGCAGTCCAGGTGTCCTGAACTGTACTGCTCGCAGGGGAGGCCTGGCCCACCACTAAGTCTGGATACTTCCAAACCTATCCTTACATGAAAACAATATCTGCGGACCATTTCATTCCAATTGGTTTTGGGTCCTAGTTTCTGCCCAGTGGTCAAATCCAGAAACCCAATCAGGACCTAGTTTCAATGAGTGGCTCTGAGCTTAGCTAATTAATGGCTTCCTGTCCCAAGAAAGGTTTCTTGTTTTTGTTTGTTTAATTAATTGTTTGCTATTGCACTAAAATACTTTGCCTTACCTGACAATAGTGAGCTCAGGATTATCTTGGCACATTTGGTTATGTGGTTTGAGCCCTCCCAGAGTGTTACTGTCTACTAGTTACCCATTAAAGTTTAATAAGGCAGAAGACAATGAGCTTGCTAGAGATGTCACAGAGCCTTTGTTGCCATGGCAATAATTGTTGGACCAGATCACAGAGAAGTATGTAAGAGACAAGAAAGAGAGAACTGCAGGAAAAGCTGAAGCATAATAGTTTTTTAAAATAGTCTCTAAACTTATAGTGGAGTAATGTGTTTAAACTTGTGGGGAAAACTACTTTATGAGAAAGGCTGATTTTCCAACATCCTCTTAAGGAGATATGGTTTTGGTTTTATGGAAGAATGGTTTCTAAGCTACATTTCTTCTTCTTTTTTTTTTTTTTTTTTTGAGACGGAGTCTTGCACTGTCACCCAGGCTGGAGTGCAGTGGCGCGACTTCGGCTCATTGCAACCTCCACCACCTCCCAGGTTCAAACGATTCTCCTTGCCTCAGAATCCCAAGTAGCTGGGATTACAGGTGCCTGCCACGATGCCTGGCTGTTTTTTTTTTTTCTATTTTTAGTAGAGACAGGGTTTCACTATGTTGGCCAGGCTGGTCTTGAACTCCTGACCTCATGATCCACCCGCCTTGGCCTCCCAAAGTGCTGGGATTACAGGTGTGAGCCACTGTGCTCTGCCTACATTTCATCTTAAAGTAAAAGTAAACGAATTGGGATTAATTTGGAAGCACACTGACTATTATAATACCAAGAACTTCATATGAAGGCAGATAGCCATTAAAATGGCAGAAATTCAACAAGATTTTTAATAGATGATTGGGTCAGTGAGAAATAGTTTTGATGTGCAATATGAAACCCCAAATATTCCAGGGGCTCCTGCAAAGTGTAAACTTGGAGTTTCCTTGACTTAGAAGTGAAAGAACAGCAGGATTGGAGGAGGGTGAAAGAAAGAACCTAGTGATCTAGGTAATGTCACTTTGGATAACATTTGCTCTAAATTGCTCCCAGCATCAGAGTAGAGCTTGGGAGGAGTGAGTCTGTATTTCAAAGCCCAGGGTTTCAGTCAGTGTGAATGAGACAGTGAGGATTATCCTGCCCTCTTGTGCTTCTGAGCCAACATGCCAGGGCTTGAAGAGGAGCGGAAGGAAATGA
The DNA here is from genome assembly GCF_000001405.40 of Homo sapiens. NCBI lineage: Eukaryota > Metazoa > Chordata > Mammalia > Primates > Hominidae > Homo > Homo sapiens. The sequence continues at coordinate 22,014,161 of NC_000015.10, read as the reverse complement.
AGAAGTCACAGAATGTCTGACTGAAGAAGCAAAGTGCAGAAACACATCGCCTCCCTCCCTCCCTATAGAAGTCAAACTCCCCGGAGACTGCTCATCACTATCAGCATGGGATGGCAGTATATTTACTTAATTAGCTAAAAGTGAATAGAGCTTAAAGTTCAGCCCTTAGGTGGGATTTTGCCGACATAGACTTCCTAGGACTTTTGTCCTATCAGAGTGGCCTGTTGTACTGTGAGCTTCTTGTGTCAAAGGTTAATTAATCTTGTCTATCCAGAGTCTAATGTTCAAATGCATGTTCATTTAATCAGGCTGTTTATAAAGTATAGTGGTTTAGTGACAAGATTATTTAAGAAAAAGTCCCCAAAAATATACTGTTGACCAGAGTAAATTAAAGGTGTAAACATTTAATAATGCCTAGAAGCCCTAATCAGAATAGATATAATTTTTACCATTCTAATCTTTTGAAAGAAACATCACAACTAGAAATGAAAAAGGTCATGTTACCACTGACCCCACAGAAATAAAAAATAACCATCAGAAACTACTACAACCACCTCTATGCACACAAACTAGAAAACCTGTAAGAGATGGGTAAATTCCTGGACACACCAATAACCTGCTCCAAAATTGCATCAGTAATAAATAGCCTACCAACCAAAATATATATATATTTTAAAAAGCTCAGGACTAGATGGATTCACAGCCAAATTCTACCAGATATGCAAAGAAGAGCCAGTACCATTTTTGCTGAAATGATTCCAAAAAACTGAGAACTGTCCAACTCATTCTATGAGGCCAGCATCATCCTGATACCAAAACCTGGTAGAGACACAACAACAAGAAAAAACTTCAAGCCAATATCATGGATGAACATTGATATAGGGCAGCTTATGATTAGTATCATGACAAAGACACAAAGATGGTAAAATAAAAATTCAAGGATGGGGCCAGGCATGGTAGCTCACACCTGTAATCCCAGCACTTTGGGAGGCCGAGGCAAGTGGATCACAAGGTCAAGAGATAGAGACCATCCTGGCCAACATTGTGAAACCCTGTCTCCACTAAAAATACAAAAATTAGCTGGGCATGGTGGCGCGCACCTGTAGTCCCAGCTACTCAGGAGGCTGAAGCAGGAGAATTGTTTGAACCCAGGAGGCGGAGGTTGCAGTGAGCTGAGATCACACCACTGCATTCCAGCCTGGGGACAGAACGAGACTATGTCTCAAAAAAGAAAAAATGCAAGGATGGAAAAGGTGCTTTGCTTAGGGGAAGAGGGGAAAACATTCTGGGGGGAAAAATGTCTTTTGAACTGGATCTTGAAGGAGGGTTTTTACAGGTGTAGGTGGAGATAAATAGAATTCCAAACACAGAAAATGATCACAAAAAAGAGAACATAGGAAACTGAACCTATTCAGAGAATGAAATGCTGTCTACTGTCTAATTTATCTGTAAAAGAGAGTAGGGAAAGATAACACCAGGAAAGTAATTTGAAGTCAATTTGTGGAGAACTTGGGAACTTGAAATCATTGATGGCTTTTGGAGCAGACAACAAGATCAAAGCTATGTTTTAGGAGTTTCTAAGTATTATGATTAAGTGATAATAAAGGTCTGAATAAACATTTTCCTCCATAGTCTTTCAAAGTGGAAGTGTGCTTTTAGACAGATGTCTGTAGTCCTAGGGCATACATCCCTGATGTCCTCAACTACTTCACAGCACTTGGTATGAGCATTCACTCACACATGAGTGTTTAGCTACACTATATTGGCCCCTAAATGCCATAAAGTAAAAATAGAAGGGACACAAATAAAAGTCAATACTTCTCTCATGTTAATTGGGAAGTCACATGTTCCTCTCAAGTATTTCTGTCAATTAACTTAAACGTTGCTACTTCTTATACTTTTTTCTCATATCTAAAGGAATCTGCCAAAAAAGTGCCATCCTTCTAAAAGTTATTTCTAAATTCTGTAAGTTTTTGCTCAATATGTGACAATGTTGGAACATCAGTATTTTCCTCACTGGGCTGTATATCCTCCAACATATATGCACAGTAACACTTGAAATGTTCCTAAACATTATGTCAGAACTTTTGGTAACATTTTGTATCTTATTTCTCCTCAGACTGTGTCTTCTGGAAGATTTTTTGGAATCCGTCTGGTGGGCAAGCTCTTTGTAAATAATGATGTCTTAGAATAGTTGTCATTACTCTTTACTGATTCTTCAGAGAATATCTAATCATTAACTTTTTAAAGATTCATTGGCTTGGAAGATAACTTTCCTAATGCTATAGAAGCTACATCCCAGGAGAAAGTGAGTTTTATAAAGTGCATTTTTAATTTTGGGGCCACAATAAAACTGTCTAGGTGGAGGCAGAATATGGTTTATAAAATAAATCATTTAGAGATTTGGTTCATGTCAAAACGATGATGGCTTCACCTTTTGAGCACTGCTGAGAATCATGACACTCCCATGTCAATCCGTTTCCATAATTTCCTAATGTTGGTTTATTAATGTTTCTGGTTGGAAGCCAATTAAAGAGGCATCTATTACTAAAAGAGGCACAAACATAACTTCTAACTAGTCATACCAAAAGAATTCCTAGAGCACTGGTGTAGAGATCAAATTGGAAGAAAAACTTCTGAAAATTTGTGTTTCTTCTCAAAATGCAAGCCCTCTTGACGTCTAGAACTCACATCCCTCCATATTTCTGAGGAAAAAAAAGTTTTTTCAGGTAACTCAAATCCCTAAATATATTTTTAGAAGAATGTAGGAGGAAGTTTACCTATAACAAAAAAAAGTGTTTAATTTCTGTCATTTAGTAAAATTTTTCAATTTTATAAAAAGCATATAAGGAAAATCAATCTCCAAATTTTATGAAATACCTTCAAAAATAAAGTTTAATGTCTAGATCTTTGCAAACTTTTGTACATAATGACTAAATCAATACTGTATTGATTTTATCAATATAATAATCACTGTATCAGTTTATGAAATTAAGGTAAAAGATTAATCAGAAACTTAAAGCCTTCCCTTTCTACAGAAAACAATGCAGCTTTACAATATTAATATTAAAAGTCAATATTGGTAAGCAACATTAGATAATCACTTAAGCTAACAACAGCAGCAATAGAAATTCAGAGATAATGGCTTTAACGTGATAGCTACCAATTTATTTTAAAATATGTGCATTTCTTTTGCATATGTAAATAATGTTAAGTAATATGTTTAGCTGAAATGTAAATGGTCAAAACTTTCCTTGCTGAGTCTATTGCACTATAAGTTGGGTTTGCAGTAAGAAACTAACACATTTGTGCCTTCTCAAAGTACTAACTTTGGGTTGTATGCTATCCAGAAACTATATTAAATCATTTCTGTCCCAAAATAATGACCTTACAAAAGGAATTTAACTTTACCTAGTTCTATCACGATTGCATATTAAGGAGAGATTTAGAAGCTGGCAGAAGTTTTTGTTCAATCAGCTACCTACTAAGCCCAAAACTCATATACTGTATAGCCAAGAAAAAGTAAACTATATTCTCTTCCTAATTATTCTTTTGAAAAATGACTTCATGTTCATTGTCTTCTCTTCATTCTTAAAAAAGGAACTCATTTTGTAAAACAGTCCTGACTGATAATGTGTCTCTTGACCTTGCAGGTCACTGGCCCAATGAATGTCTCTGAGCCAAATTCCAGCTTTGCTTTAGTAAATGAATTTATACTCCAAGATTTATCTTTTGAGTGGACAATTCAGATCTTCCTCTTCTCACTCTTCACTACAACATATGCACTGACCATAACAGGAAATGGAGCCATTGCTTGCGCCCTGTGGTGTGACCGGCGACGTCACACTCCCATGTACATGTTCCTGGGAAATTTCTCCTTTTTAGAGATATGGTATGTCTCTTCTACAGTTCCCAAGATGTTGGTCAACTTCCTTTCAGAGAAAAAAACCATCTCCTTTGCTGGATGTTTTCTCCAATTTTATTTCTTCTTCTCTTTGGGTACATCTGAATGCTTGATTTTGACTGTGATGGCCTTTGATCAGTACCTTGTTATCTGCCATCCCTTGCACTATCCTAATAAATCATGACTGGGCATCTCTGTGCCAAACTGGTCATACTGTGCTGGGTTTGTGGATTTCTGTGTTTCCTGATCCCCACTGTTCTCATCTCTCAGATGCCCTTCTGTGGTCCAAACATTAATGACCATGTTGTGTGTGACCCAGGGCCACTATTTGCATTGGCTTGTGTCTCTGCCCCAAGAATCCAACTGTTTTGCTACACTCTAAGCTCATTAGTTATTTTTGGTAACTTCCTCTTTATTATTGGATCCTATACTCTTGTCCTGAAAGCTGTGTTGGGTATGCCTTCGAGCACTGGGAAACATAAAGCCTTCTCTACCTGTGGGTCTCATTTGGCTGTGGTATCACTGTTCTATGGCTCTCTTATGGTCATGTGTGTGAGTCCAGGACTTGGACACTCTATGGGGATGCAGAAAATCAAAACTTTGTTCTATGCTATGGTGACCCCACTCTTCAATCCCCTTATCTATAGCCTCCAGAATAAGGAGATAAAGGCAGCCCTGAGGAAAGTTCTGGGGAGTTCCAACATAATCTAAGCCATATTAGATTATTCCTCCATGATCAGATCAGTACAGTCTAACAAAGAGAAATCAGAATTATATAGTTATTTAAATCTAAAAAATATGGATCTAGTAATATTGACTATATCAGCCTATGAAATTAAACACCTGTTGGGCCCCTTACAAATTAAAGTTGCCAAATTATATAGATAAATGGAAGCGTGTGGCTTCCCTTTGGCACCTAGACTGAGTATTAACTGAGGAATGTACATATTTGGGTGTTTTCTGGATAGTTTCCATCTGATTCATCTGTGATAAAAATTCTTTAAGTTCTATTTGACTTAAATTTATTGTTCTGACATTGACAAAATTACAGCTATGTTATTTTGTTTGGTTGGTTGTAAATAAAAGAAGAAAAAACATATTTTCTGATTGTGATTCCTATCATATTTGGCTTTATTATTTGGTGACATGGTCATTTCTAATAAATAAGCCCTTATAAGCAATTTATCAACATTTTTGTGGGACAATAAAATATTCTAGCCTAAGGACATCCAAACATTACTTCCTTCTGAGCCCCTAAAGGGCAGATTCTAATTCCATCTATAGTAATATCAGTCAAAATATTCACAAATGCATTCTTCTAAATGCCTAATATTTTTACCTAAATAAGGTATCACCAAAAACGTGATGGGTCAATTTATTGAGTTTTAGATAATAGAATATCTCCCCCTAAAAATTGGACAGGGCAATGGTGTACTTGTGGATACACTGCTTAAGTTCAAAAAATAAAATCAATGGCAGTTCATTGTCATTTGTTGCTAAAAGAATGTGAAAATAACATGAAGGAAAATTTTTAAAGGAAAAAAGCATTTATAGTTCAATTGCTCTAATGTATCTATTTTTGTTAATATGTCTGTTTCATGTGATTTAATGTTGAACTTGCTCCCATTTATAGCAAGTTTTCATAATTATCATTCTTAGAAAGCATAATATTTTATTGAACTAACATGCCATGAATTGTGAATTTTTATGTGGGGAGATGAACATTGTCCTAGACGAAGGGCCTTCTTTCCAAGAAGCTAAGAGCTGACTAGTAAAAGGGAATTTTCAGAAGGGATATTAGGAGAAAAATGAACGCCTCTACTACACAAGAATGACTTCTCACAGAATTTGTACTGTGGCATTCTGGGGTAAGGTTACTGAACACTCCAACACCTTCCTTCCTTCTACCACCAATTTTTTTGATGAACATTACAGTTATCCCATTTTTTGTTATAAAATAATATCTCAATAAAATCTCCATAAAGATTTGCCTTGATAATATTTTGCAAACCTGAATTAGGACTCATCATCTAATCTGAAACAGACTGTCCCAGAAAATACAGAATATAAGAATATGATGTATGTGCAACAATTTTCCTTTCAGATTTTTTGTCTTATAACAGTTTATTGGGAAAGAGATCATTATTCAGTTCAAAAGGTAGGAATGCATTTGTGAATTGGGGCCTGGACATTCCAGGTAGAACAATTATTTGCTCCTTGGATGTAAGACAGTATCAAGCTTTTAGTCAATCTTATTAGAACTCTGCCATATCTCTCACTTGTATAGCCGCTGAGGATCTTTCCTGTTTCCATACTCCTTTCCAGGGTATATGACTTTTAAGTTACCTGAGTTCTGATCAGCAAATGGACTCAGGAAGAACAGGTAGTCAAGGCAGGCAATATTTCCACCACAGTTTCAGAACTCCCTACTTTGTGGTACTAAGTTAATACATTTGTGCAGCCACTACCTTTTCAAAGGTTTCTTCTTACAACCTCAAATACTATGACTGGTTCACAACCTTTTCCATAGTGCTAAATTATTTGACCAAACACCGCATATATACCATATTTTTTCAAAGCCAAACTGTATCCCAAAGAGAGAGAAGGAGAGAGAAAGAATAGCAGTAAAAATACAGTGTTATTTCAGGTTGATATTTAAAAACAATTGTGCTGGTTAATGGTTTCCTCGGGGGAAATGACAATTGAAAGTCGGTATTTTCTACTTTCAAATACAAGTCATGGTGTTTATTCGCTGCCTTTACAACTGAATAGATGGAATTCGCTGAACAAACTTTGATTCTACCCTCAATTACAACTAATTCCCTCACAAAGCAAAATTTATTTCACAACTAAACATTATGTACATTCAAGATTACTAGAAAACTTAGGACATAAGGTGCAAGTGCGACAATATTAGGAGAAAAGAAAGAGTGTGTATCAGTTTAACAGGTTTTCACATGCAAATTCACCACCACAGGGTTCACTGTCTTGGCAACATTGAAAATAATAATAATTAACGTTTTAAGACACCTATTTTGTGTCAGGCAATGTTCCAAGTCTTTCCTATGTATTATTTTATTTCCTACTTATGAAACCCAAAGAAATTGGGTTGGTATTATTGTATCTCTAATTTTTGAAGAGTGAAACAGGCAGAAAAGGTAACTTGCCTAGTTGGAGATGGCATCTGATCTCAGGCAGGCTAACAATGGAGCCCACAGTTTTTACTACTATTAGGGGAAAAGACCAACACTATCGAATGAAATAGATTGGATCAAATCTAAGTCACTGATTGTGTGAGCTTATGCAAATTATTTGACCTTTCTGCCTAGATTTGTTTAGACTATAAAATAGAACTAATGATAATACTTTTGTCAGACAGTGGATTTGATGATTAAATGCGGTAAATCAAGGTAGGATCTTACACATAGTATTTATGGAATCTATTTCAGTTAATATTATTAATGTCTTTCATTTGTAGGGCTCTTCAGCATTTCCCAAACACTTTTATATAGTTGTTCAGTTCATCCTCACAAATTCTGTCATCACACAGTTAAGGTAGACATTCCCATACTCATTTCACTGATGAGATTCAAAGAAATCAAGTATACTGTCCAAGGTCACCCATAGTAAGTGAAGGAACCAGTTCTTCTGACTTCAAGTTCAGTAAGAATTCTGCTGTACCATACATCCTATTCTGGGAAATGTGGCTAAGTCCTGTGTAGCTAACTTCAGAACTACATGGCCATGCAAGCCAAAGAGCTGGATTTACCCCAGAAATGAATACTGTAGAGAAGAAATGAGTGAAGTAGAAGAACTAAGGGATTTCTTTCCAGTAGTTTTAAGGTAATAACTAGTCAAATTATACAAATATTTATGTAAAACGTATTTCACGTGCAAAATATGTCACTGAGTGAAAATGGCAGATCATGAAACAATAGTATTATATAATCTTACACAAACATGAAGTCATGGGATTATGGGTAATTAAGATTCGTTGTTTCCTCTTTTATGCTAATATCTTTATTTCCTAATTTTTCCATGACAAATATGCATTTTTTGTTCAATTTACAAACAACATGGAGTTAACAAAAAATTAGTGTTTACAAATGGATGCATAATTTAAAGCAATGCTTTTAGACACACCACTTACCCACACTTCCCCTCCACTTTGTGTGTAAGGGAAAGGATAATGCTACTGTCTTTGGTAAGCTTTTACCATGTCTTTACAGAGCTTCTCAAGTACTTTTCCATGTGGGGTCACTTTGTGGAGAGGAGTTAATTTGGCACCCTAGTCCTTCTATTTCACTCAGAACCAGCTTTTTCTGCAAAGGAAAGAGTGGTCCTTGATAGCAAACCCTGGCCTTGTGGTTTTCATTCTAGATGCTTAGAGCAACAACAACAACAAAAACAAAAGACAGAGACAGAGACAGAGAGAATGGAGGAACATGTCATACAATCAAATGAACCTTCCCAATCAAGAACTTTACCTGGGAACCTCCCATCTACACTTGTACACATCTCTCCCCCCAAGCTCCCTGCTTACTACTAATACAAGAACCAACTTTAATTAAAAGAGGGTTTGAATTGTTATGTTTTTGATACCTACCTTTTTTTTTATTATACTTTGTTTTAGGGTACATGTGCACAACCTGCAGGTGTGTTCCATATGTATACATGTGCCATGTTGGTGTGCTGCACCCATTAACTTGTCATTTAGCATTAGGTATATCTCCTAATGCTATCCCTCCCCCCTCCCCCCACCCCACAACAGGCCCCGGTGTGTGATGTTCCCCTTCCTGTGTCCATGTGTTCTCATTGTTCAATTCCCACCTATGAGTGAGAACATGCGGTGTTTGGTTTTTTGTCCTTGCGATAGTTTGCTGAGAATGATGGTTTCCAGCTTCATCCATGTCTCTACAAAGGACATGAACTCATCATTTTTTATGGCTGCATAGTATTCCATGGTGTATATGTGCCACAAGAACTCAAACAAATTTACAAGAAAAAAACTAACAACCCCATCAAAAAGTGGGCAAAGGATATGAACAGACACTTCTCAAAAGAAGACATTTATGCAGCCAAAAGAAACATGAAAACATGCTCATCATCACTGGCCATCAGAGAAATGCAAATCAAAACCACAATGAGATACCATCTCACACCAGTTAGAATGGCGATCATTAAAAAGTCAGGAAACAACAGGTGCTGGAGAGGATATGGAGAAATAGGAACACTTTTACACTGTTGGTGGGACTGTAAACTAGTTCAACCATTGTGGAAGTCAGTGTGGCGATTCCTCAGGGATCTAGAACTAGAAATACCATTTGACCCGCCATCCCATTACCGGGTATATACCCAAAGGACTATAAATCATGCTGCTATAAAGACACACACACACGTATGTTTATTGCGGCATTATTCACAATAGCAAAGACTTGGAACCAACCCAAATGTCCAACAATGATAGACTGGATTAAGAAAATATGGCACATATACACCATGGAATACTATGCAGCCATAAAAAATGATGACTTGATGTCCTTTGTAGGGACATGGATGAAATTGGAAATCATCATTCTCAGTAAACTATTGCAAGAATAAAAAACCAAACACCACATATTTTCACTCATAGGTGAGAACAATGAGAACAAATGGACACAGGAAGGGGAACATCACACTCGGGGGACTGTTGTGGGTTGGGGGAGCGGGGAGGGATAGCATTGGGAGATATACCTAATGCTAGATGACGAGTTAGTGGGTGCAGCGCACCAGCATGGCACATGTATACATATGTAACTAACCTGCACATTGTGCACATGTACCCTAAAACTTAAAAGTACTGTAATAATAAATAAATAAATAAATAAATACGCCAAAAAAATAAAATAAAATAAATGCTTGGAACAAGAGATGAGAAAACTATTTTAATGTCTCCAAAGGCAAACTTATGTCATTGTTATTGCAAGAACAGAACAGAAGCAGAAAAAATATTCAAAAGGGCTTCAGTCAAGTCAAACAAAATATGAATTAGAGTATGGGGACTTTTCTCTCTTTGGGAGATTAAATTACCAAAACCCAGTTCTGGCTTTGATTTTTTGACTTCCTTCCCAAAAGTTTCCCATTGGCCTGTGTCCTCTGGAAAACAAGATCCGACCATTCAGATAAACATCCATCTTTCCTCTTCTCCCTCTATTCCGTAATCCCAACTTCAGTAGGAAGGTCATGTTCCTTCAGCAAGACTGTGGGTCCCTCTTCAATTATACTGCCATAAAGAGAGCACTGGGATGGGGAGGTAGAAATGGAGAGATGATGGGGTGCTCTTACTGCAAGGAAAAAAACTCTCCTGGAAAATGGAGATGGAACTTGTTCTTTCAGAGATAGGAGGATATTATACAAAGTTAGTGGGAACTGAAATCCCCAAATCAGACTGAAAAAGAGGAAATCAAAAATAGAAAAGGTAGCTGGGAGGGAAAAGGGAGAGAATATGATGCAATTTGGGGAGATGTTAAGAGGTTAACAAAGCACTCTCCTTCTTCCCTAGAAATTCCCACCTGACAGTTAATAACAAGGGAGTCACACCTGTGTGTGACAGAGGGCAGCCAATGGCCATTGTGGAGGAAAGAATCACCGAAAAAAAGGCTTTACTCTTGCTGCACGATAAAGTGGAAAAAAAAATCCTTCCTGAGAAATTTCAACCTTGTCTCTGCTGACTTCCATTTTCTCTGCTCAGAGGTAAACAGCCGCTAGATAAGCCTTGTGGACAAGGTGGAAGAGCAAGTAAGTAGAAACTGACAGAGCAGAAAGCAGAAATGAAGAATCTCTCACACAGAGAGACTCTGCCCCTCTCCAAGGGAAGCCAGAGGCTTGAAGCCAGGCAGGGATTAGGTGGCATTTAAGAGGAATCTGTGTGTTAAGACTTGCCACAATTTAACTGCTCAAGTAAGGAGCTGTCATTTGTGGATAATGTAAGTATGCTTCAGGTGATACTATCAAACTTGATTTCCTGAAAGCAAAGGACCACTGCATAGCTCAGAATTCTATATTCCTAGGATCTCTACCTCAAAACCATTGCGTCTTCTTGGTCTGAGATTTACCCCAGCCTCTGAAATCTCCCTGAATGCTAGAATAGAGAGGGAAGCCCAAGAATAACAGGGCATGCTATTTGACACAGTCAGGGCTCAAGAAACGGACTTTGAAAAATGTGAGGAAATAGCCATGGAAATAGGATGATGGAGCACCAAATGTATTGAATGATATCCACAATGAGGTGGATGGCTTTGCAAGGTTGAGTCATCTAGATGATTCATTCCCAGGACCTTCTCAGGCCTCCTCTGAACTTTTCACTGAAATCTGAGGCATGTACACTACTCATGCTCCAGCTCCCTTTGAAGAGACATTATTACTCAAGGAAAGGCAGCTTCTGTGCTTCCAGAGCCAGCTTTCTGTGGTCACCCAGCAATGTTATCTCAAGAGAAAGACACAGAAATCCATGTCCTTTGATAGAAAATCCTCCTTTGCTCAAGGGCATGAGTTACTGAATAAGTCCAAGGAGGGTGACACTTTTCATTCTTGTTTGATGTCTGTCATTCTCAGAGCACCAGCCTGATCTGCCTCTTTCCATCTTTTCAGGGACCCAGATAGGGGACACATGATTATTGCTGATTTCATAATAGGCAACTGGAGGCTTTACCATGAAAGATGAATAAGTAAACAGTGCAACTTGGAGGTAGGGCTGGCCACCTACCACTTGGTGGCCAACGCAGGGACTGCTCACCTCCTGCTGCTGTTTCTGGAGCCTGTTGATCAGCAGCAGCTGCACAGCTACCACCGCTTTACCCGGTAGCTTCAGAAGGAGGACTATTTTGATTTACCCCAAGGTGAGGTTGAGTGGGATGCCTTCTGTGAGTGACTTTGGAGAAGGCTAAGGAAAGCCAGATGAGAAAGAGAGGATTAGAAGCTGTGAGAGGTTTAACCAGGCAGAAATCTCTCCCAGCAGGGGCCTGGATTGCCATCACATCACTGAAGGGAGGGCTCACAAAAGTGGTCTGCAGGCAGTGCTTACTCCAAGCCCGCTTTTTACACTGAAAATGATAGTTGAAGACAACATATTTGAAAGCACCTGCAAACAAAGTTCTTTCAAAAAACAGTTCTGATACCCTGCTAGTCCTCTCACACAAGGCATTCCCTTAAAAAAGAATATGCAAAAATGGGTTGGAGAATGCTATGTGCATTTTTCAAAATGAATTCCTTCTGCCTCCACTGAAAGCAATGTGTTCACTTGTTTGATAAAAAGCTACTTTATTCCAGAGGAATGAGGCAAGAATCAATGAGCTACTTGTCAGTGTTCTAAAGCTAAATTGCAAATTCAGAGTTTCTCTAATTCATGAGGTTCTCACAATAGTAGTATTGCATGAGTGAGAACAATAGTTGTGATCCTGTATTACATATGAGGAATCCAAGCACATAAAGATTAGGTGACTTACCACTGTGGCACAGCAAACTGGATCTGGTGCTCATCCTCTGAGTCACAGTCCAGGGCTCTGTACTCTCTACTGTCTTCCGCTTACCTCCAACTGATGACAGCTTACCTTGCTACGGAGTTAAATGGGCAAAAACGAGGTAAACATCTTAAAAATACACACACGTTATCTATTTCTGAGAATATTTTCACAAATTTACAGAGATTTTGCATAAAATTATAAGTGCCCCCAAACAGAAGGATAAAGTACATTGATAAAAATGGACTATAATGTTCTCATTAAGAATCATGTTTCAAAGAACACATAGTGCTATGGGGAAAGACACATGATATATTAAACAAAAGTATTAACAAAACTGCATGCACTACGATTCCAATTTTGAAAATAATTACATAGATATCTAATATACGAAATACAGAGAAACAGAGGAGGCTAGAAATGGTCTTAGAAATGGTATTGTGGATGATTTAAACTTCCTATACTTTCCTGTGTTATTATTTTTTTCTAAAATAAGCACATGTTGTTTTCATAATATTAAAATAAATTCTCTTTTGTAAATGGAAACCTTAGTGTAGACTAATTAGTTTAATTCTCTACTTTTTGTTGGCATGACATGAGCTTGAGAGAAAGTATAAATGTCTAAATCTGGAAAAACACAGCAAAAAAAAAAAAGGTAAAAAGTCACTGCAAACAATTTCAGAGACCATCTGTTAGACAAATGGGCCAAAGAGGGCTTCTTTATATAGCCCCCCTAGGGTGTTTACTTCTTTACAGTAAGCTGAATCCTGTTAACTCAAATGCCATAGATAAGATAAATTCTGGGGCTGTAAAGACCCCAAGTTGCTGCTGTACTTTGGAGCTCTCTGACACAGAGTCCACACTGGGCTACTCAGCAACATCACCTAGACAAGCAAATCTCTCTCTTATCGCCCTCTCCCCTGAGCGCTCTCTAGTCCTCCTCCCCTTCTGGATAGAGGCCTGATGCCATAGCCTCTAAAAGGTAATGCATTGAGGGACTATCCCTGCATGAAAAGCTATCTAAGCAGCTCCCCCAGGAAAACTGCCACCTCAGGGTCAGCTCCTCAAGTTTTGGCTCAGAAAGTGAAAGACTTCCACACACATTGCTTCAGGGGAAAAAAAAAAATTAGCAATTTATTCCTTAATAGAGTTGGAGTACTTGTAGTCCTGTGGCATAACCCTGGGACTTTGCTGACCACAAGTCCAGTATTTCATCCCCCCTCCCTTTGTCTGCTGTCAACTAGTGTTCCTTAGAAAATATTATTATTGTTATCAATGTTAATAAAACTTCACGTTCTAATTAGCCTTAATATTTTCCATTACAGTTTTTTATGTTGTTGAAATCAACCTGAATGGTTTTTTTCTTGAAATATCTTAGATCGTATCATGGAATTTCAAGATTGAAAGAAATTTGCATCTGATGCTTAGATACCCTCTCCCACTTTCCCAACCTATATCTGACAAAAGCAACTGATAGAAAGTATTGTTCTTCAGCTCGTTCCATCATTGCATATATTTCTCTGTTAAAAAGTAAGTCTCCATGATGAATTAAAATGTGTCACCCTATAGAATTATAGTAATTCTGTACTTTAGAGATTAAATGGGACAAATTCAATTGCTTTATTAAATAATTACCCTTCATTTGTTTCAATAAAACTTTTTGTTCTCCAATTTAAATATCCCAATTCCTTCTACTGTTACTCATTTTCCGTACTTCTAAGTCCCCTCTAGTTGTTCTTCGCCAAATTCACTATAGTTTGACAATGTACTTCTTAAGTGAAACTAAAATGACAAATTCATGAAACAAGTGGGCAAATAGTTTAAAGTTAAGTACCACTAAAACAGATATTGATCCAAAAATCTCAACATAAGTACAGAACCCTTGGGGCTGGCACATGTGCAGAATTGTAGAAAGAAGGGAAGAGATAGATAAGCCTTTGAAGCATTTTGTAAATTCTTTGCCATAACTGACTTCTGTCTTTATATCCTTGGACTTCATAGAACCCCTTGTTCTTACATTTTCAGTCCTAAATCCAGTATCATCTATTTTGTGGGAAAACATAGCTATGTTAGTATAAAAACATATATCAAGGCTTCCAATTATATTTGATATTCTGATTCAGGCTTAAGGTCAACTGATTATTCAGATTAGACCCAAGCCTCATCATCTTTCCCTTTTTCCCTAAAGGCTGAACCAATTAAGATCTCAGTTAAGAAACACTTTTTGAGATCTTCCCAAAACTTTCTCACTGTTATCCCTAGATGAGTCCACTTGGAAATGTTGGATGATCCAGAAGGGTCAAAAATAAACCTTGGCACATTTATTTAAAAATGAAGCAGGTGGAGACTGGAGGTCAGCAGTGAAGACTGAGTGTACACACAGCGTGCTCTTAGTCACCACTCCTCCAAGAGGAGCTGTCCAGGGTATGATAGCCACGGCTCAAAATGTGTCTGCTACATACTCTCCTAAAGAGTCAGGTGTAATCGTTGCTTCCTAAATCAGGAAAGACTGCAGTGCCCTTTACATCTGCTTGTAACCACAATATGGTTATTGGGTGGGCTCCAAATAACTGCTATACTTGATAATGTTACCTTCCAACACTGACCCTTTTAAAGGCCTTCTAAGAAATTTTGGATGTGAGCGCCACTGTGTTCCTCTTTGCTGAACACTTTCTCAAATGGGAGACCAAGGAAGATGAGGTTGACTCATGTATTCCAGCAGACAGAAACCTAACTTTAGATGTCTACTCTCTACATGTTTCTATAATTCTCACACAACAGCTTCAGATAAGGCACAGCTCAGATTTTTTTCATGTCTTTTCCACTTTCCTTTAACCCTGTGTTGCATTTGGAATCAATCACAATCTTGAAAGACACAGTTCCAAACACCATAATCGAATGTTGAAAATCAAAAGAACAAAATCCTTAAAGTCTAAAATTCCAAAAATCGCCATCCCAAAAGACTGAAATCCTGAAAATTTAATTCTGGAAAAAATAATTTTAAAAATTCTTTAAGATATATTTATTTACATTTTTAAAAGGTATTTATTTGAGTAACATATAAAAACACAAAAATAAAAACACAGCAGAACACTTCAAAGATCACCTTACACAATAAAATAAGCGATAACATACATTTTTGCAAGCATAAACATTCAGGCCTTCTATCAACAGTCACACAAGTATAAGAGTTATAAACAGATGAACTATATTCATGAAGAAATAGGTCAAAAGGTGAAATATGTAAATGCATATCATTGTGGTTGGTAATTGTATGCACCCAGCTCTATAACTGTAGTCTTCTGAAATACTATGATAGACAACATAAGTATTTTCATGATACTGATTAATCACCACCACAACAGTCACCTAAAGAACCAAGATCTCAAGAAATAATGTTTTAAATGTTTCTGTAGTACTGTAAGGTGAATATAGTTAACTATAATTTATTGTGTATTTTTACAAAGCTAGAAGAGAGGATTTTGAATGTTCACAAGACAAAGAAGTGCTAAATGCATGAGGCGATGTGCTAATTACCTTGATTTGATCACCCCATATTGTCTATGTGTATTGGACTAGTACTCTATATCTCATAAATATAATTATTACATGTCAACTAAAAATAAAAGGAAAAATATATTTTTAAAATGTTAACTCAAAAATCTTAGCTTAATAGTTGTAAAGAAAGAAGACTCTCCCATCAGAGTGAAGTGGGAGTGATCTTGCTTCAGGAAATGAAGCTGCATCAGCATAACAGGACTTTGACCTGAAGTCCTAGCTGCTGGCTGAAGCAGCCACTGAGGAGCCTTTGACAGCAAAATCTGTAAAAAACATTGCGTGATAGGCACACCTAATCGTTAAAGATAAAAACAATACATAGGTACACGAAGACATTCGTTGTATCTCATATTTTCTATAAATGTTCTAAGGAAATGTACTTGTTGCCTAGAGCTCATTTAAGAAACAAGGTTCTCTTCAGTGCAGCATGTGCTGTTTTAGGAACCCTGCCAGTGTCCTTCCAATAGGACCAATGCTCTAAAATCATCACATAAATAAAGTGTGACAAGAGTTTCAGCTTCTTGGTTTCGTACTCCTCCCTCAGACATACTCTACTTTGTACGTTTACATTTCCTCTTATCTATCTCAATTCTTCAAGCTTCCTCATTGAAAAATAAGCCCTGGAGAATGAATGGAATATGTAAATAAATGAAACATCCACCAGTAGATTATTGTTAAGAACTGTAGTATGTGTACATGATAGAATGCTTCCCCGTATTAAAGTAAATATTTTTAAAGATTATCCCAAAATATGGGTAAAGACTTAAGATAGGCTATTAAAGTGATAAAAATAGAATAAAAAGTAGAATTCAAAATTAGTCATAATATGATTCGAAGTAGAAAAAATAGGAGTAATGCAGCAAAGTATTAGTAACAATTTGATGTAAATGAACTGTGCCATTAATAATTTTTCTATATTTTTCATATTTGTCCATTTTTTGTTTCATTTTCTAAATAGTTACTTAAATTGTGCAAAATTTTCTCTACAGTATAAATGTCTACCAACAACTCAGAGAGAAAATGTCCTACAGTGGCATGTAACTTCAAATGATCCAGACCTTTACATAAGTGCTAAAAAGTGTTAATGGTGTCATTTCTGGGAAGGAGGTGCCCTAGAAGAGGGAAACAGACTGGATTCTCAGGCCTTTAAGGTTGTCTTCTTGAGACAGTCTCAGTGTCCTAACTATCAGAACCGTGTATGGAGCCGAGACCCAATTTGCATATTTCAACAAGCTTAATTTTCTCAACAGTTATGGCTTTCACTTTCCCCCATCTTCTTCCAGCCATCTCTATTTATACACCCAAGAAACTTTCAGATTTTCCTTAGTTTCCTCTCATAACACAAACGTGCCTGAGATGTTATCAGGCACATTTATCATTCACATGTCTCTTGAAGGCGTTCAGAAGAAATGAATGGTATCCTTTCTCCTGGAACTGCATCCCACCCTGGAAACCAAATGCTGTTTACATTACTCTTATAGGATTTTTCCAGACATATGATAAAAGAAAAAACTTCAGCTGAATTAAATTTAAAGGAGTTGAATTGAGCAATGAATGATTCACAAATCAGGCAGCCCCCAGAATCACAGCAGATTCACAGAGGCTCCAGCACAGCCATGTGGTGGTAAATTTATAGACAAACAAAAGGGAAATGACATACAGAAATCAGCAGTGAGTTACAGGAACAGCTGCATTGGTTACAGATTGGCATTTGCCTCATCAGTGTATTAATGATTGAAGTATGGCCACTGAGATTGGCTAAGACTTAGCTATTTGTTGCAGGTGCATACTCGTAAGTTAGGTTTTCAATTTTGTCTGCCTATTAAGCTAGGTTACAGTTCATCCACAAGGATTCAAATATGGAAGTACAAGTCCTTCTCAGGCCATATTTAGTTTGCTTTAACACCTATGAGCTTAATACCGACAAAGTGAACACTATTTCCTCATATCATACAAAACCAAAAGTGTTGAAACTAAATTGTCAGGATCTAATACTCAAATATCATAGTATGATATATTTTCACTTTCCCATGGTGTTCTTTCCCTCCTTTCATATATTCCTTCACTCTTATTTTTTAGCATATTCATTCATCACCCAAAACTTCATCTTATGTGCTAGGTGTTGGGCCAAGGCTTGGAGGAACAAAGTGATGCAAAATACTGATAGACTTTTTAAAATGCTTATTGAGTCAGAGGGGCATGAGATTCTGCATTTCTTTTTATAGATATATATACTTTAGGTTCTGGGATACATGTGCAGAACGTGCAGGTTTGTTACATAGGTATACACGTGCCATGGTGATTTGATGCACCCATCAACCAATCATCTACATTAGGTATTTCTCCCAATGCTATCCCTCCCCTAGCCCCCCACCCCTGAAAAGCCCCCAGTGTGCAATGTTGCCCTCCATGTGTCCATGTGTTCTCATTGTTCAACTCCCACTGATGAGTGAGCCAACATGCGGTGTTTGGTTTTTTGTTCTTGTGTTAGTTTGCCGAGAATGATGGTTTCCAGCCTCATCTATGTCCCTGAAAAGGACATGAACTCATCCTTTTTTATGGCTGCATAGTATTCCATGGTGTATATGTGCCACATTTTCTGTATTCAGTCTATCATTGATGGGCATTTGGTTTAGTTCCAAGTCTTTGCTATTTTGAACAGTGCTGCAATAAACATACTTGTGCATGTGTCTTTATAGTAGAATGATGTATAATCCTTTGGGTGTATACCCAGTAATGGGATCACTGGGTCAAATGGTATTTCTAGTTCTAGATCCTTGAGGAATCACCACACTGTCTTCCACAATGGTGGAACTAATTTACACTCCCACCAACAGTGTAAAAGCATTCCTATTTCTCCACATCCTCTCCAGCATCTGTTGTTTTCTGACTTTTTAGTGATCACATATGCAGAAAGCTGAAACTGGATCCCTTCCTTACATCTTACACAAAAATTAACTCAAGATAGATTAAAAACTTACGTGTAAGGCCTAAGCCCATACAAACCCTAAAAGAAAACCTAGGCGATGCCATTCAGGACATTGGCATGGGCAAAGACTTCATGACTAAAACACCAAAAGCAATGGCAACAGAAGTCAAAATAGACAAATGGGATCTTATTAAACTAAAGAGCTTCTGCACAGCAAAAGAAACTATCATCAGAGTGAACAGGCAACCTACAGAATGGGAGAAAATTTTTGCAATCTATCCATCTGACAAAGGACTAATATCCAGAATCTACAAAAAACTTAAACAGATTTACAAGAAAAAAACAAACAACCCCATCAAAAAGTGGGCAAAGGATGCGAATGGACACTTCTCAAAGAAGACATTTATGCAGCCAACAAACATGAAAAAAAAGCTCATCGTCACTGGTCATTAGAGAAATGCAAATCAAAACCACAATGAGCTATCATCTCACACCAGTCAGAATGGAGATTCTGCATTTCTAAAAGTCTCCAGCTGACACTGATGTTGCCGGTCAATAGACCATACTTCATGTAGCAATGATCTAGTGATGACCTAGTTAAAATGTCCAAGGAGACAAGTTCCTGAACAAAAAAGCCTCAGAAATATCTCTACCTCACCCACATAATGATGAGAAAAAGTCAGAATTGGGAGTGATTCTTAAAAATCAGTGTTTCTCTCTCAAAGTCAGGTTAAGGAGTAGACATTGCCTGATTTCTATTAAATCCTACTAAGATTCTGCCAGATAGTAGAAAACATTGTAATACAAATTGAAAAACATCTTTGTTCCTGTCATTTATTGATTTATATAACATGTTATTTGTTGAGAACCATGGTGCACTGGGATGTGTGGTACTAATCAGGGATACATGGTGACCTAAACTAGACCTGGAACACTCTTGAGGAGCTTACAATCTAGTATAAATCCTAAACACTGAATAAAATAGCCAGGTAAATAAATGCCAAATTAATCATTCAGTAAGTGTTATAAAGGAAAGGTACATTAAGGCCTAACATGATTCAATGGAGGTGGCGCAGGGAACTCTGTCTCACTCTTCATACCATAAAAGGCTTCTTGAGAAAGGAATGCTTGAGTTGAGACCCTAGAAAAATGAATAACATACTTTAAATAAAGGGAGATGAGGGTGAAAAGTGGATTTCAGGCACAGAGAATAGAATATGACATGATTTCATCTCCCTTTTTGAAACAGTAACTGTGGCCACGGTAGTGAAGAGTTTAGAGAAGGACAAGGGTAAATGTGAAACTAATTATGAGGCAAGTATATTTGTTTTTGTTTTTTTGTGTATTTTTGCAAGACAGGATGAATTTTATTCTGTTTTTAAAATAAGTAAATTTATCTTTGTTCTTTGGAAGACCTCTAGTAAAGAATAAATGTCATGACATGTTAATCCTTAAAATTGTTATAGTTGCTCAAAAAAGAAACTCAAAAACTAAAATTGGATCCTATCAACCCAGATAAAACACTGAAAATTATGAAACTTTCACTCAAAATACAGTGATAACTGCAGAAAAGCAGCAACTATTTAATCATGCCCACCAACAATGTGCAGTGTCCTCCATGGGCCAAACACACTCCAGGTGGCGGCCATGGATGGAGGGGAAGAGGACTGGGGTTTTCTATGGGGTGATGGCAGTGTTTTGGAGCTCAAAAGAGGTGGTGGTTGCACAATGTGAATGTGCTGAATGAGGCAAGTATATTTGAAAAAGATGGAGGCAGTCAGTAGAGGTGGTGGTAGAAATTGAAGGAAATGCATATTATTACATATTTGGGAAGTAAAATGTATTTAAAGATTGGAAATGGAGGTGAACGGTTAGAAAGATGGTCAGATACCTTGCCATGGCGCCTCACCCTAATACTTCAGTGCATGCCAGCCTGACTTCCAGCATTCACCCCTGCATTTCCTTACCTGAGGGCTTTCTCTGATCACAGAAGCCGCTTTTGCTGTCCCTGCTGCAGGTTGGGCATGCTGAGGAATCAATGCCGCTAGGAGACAGTCCATAACTAATGACTATCAGAAACTGTTGTACGAATACCCTTTATCTCTCAGCATGTTTCTGAGATGAGTTATCTACACTGGATCTCAGAGTTATTCCAAGTTTAATCCACAGTTATCCATTCTGGTAACTGCTTCATAGTTCACTCTTTATAAGGGTCTTTGCCCCACTTCCCAGTTCTCCTACCAGAGATTCTGATACCTACCAAATGAATCACCTGCAGGTGAATCTTAGTCTCTGGATCTGCTTTCAGGGTAGCACTGTAGTCAGATGAATGGGAATCCATTCTCTCAGAAATGCAAGAAGGGAATGTGGTTTGGGAAAGTTCATTAGATCAATTTTGGAGTTGAGTTTGAGGTGCCCCTGAAACATTCAAGTAAAACTATCATCCAGCAGTCAAATATTAATACCATGTAGCAGTTGTCATCTGGAACTCTGAGGATGCAATTTGTATTAACAATTTGATATACTCATTGGCAAATAAGTAATAACCAAAGCTTTGGAGAAGAAAATGACCTAGACAATAGTATAGCATTGAAAGATGTGAAGGCCTGGAACTCAGCCTCACAGAGCTTCAGAATTTAATGGCCAAATAAAGGAAAAGAAGCCCACAAATCAAATAGAGGAGTTGTAGCCAGAAATGTGGGAGTTTTCTGGGCAATCAGGAGGCAAAGTAGAATAGAGTTGACACTGAAGCCAAAGGAAAAAATGTGTTGGAACAGCAGTGCTGAATTCTGCTGAGAAGAGATACGTCTTGAAAAAAAAATGTCCATAAGACTTAGACACATGAATGTTATTGGTGATTTCTGCAATGGCCATTGCAGGGTTATGATGGGGAAGGAACCATATTTAAATATATTGAATGTGAGGCAGGCATGAAGAAGAGATGAGGCTTTCTTGCTGTGTGTTAAGCATGCCAGCCATCCCCCTGCCTTGTGGCGCCTATACATACCATCTCCTCTGCCTGTAATGCTCTTTTGCTAGATATTTATATTTCTTGCCCCAACACTTCCTTCAAGTCTTTTCTCAAATATCACCTTCTCAGTGAGGCCTTCCCTGACTAGCTATTGAAAATTACACCCAGTGGGGATGGGGAGATATTGGTTAAAGAGTTCAAAGTCTCAGCTAAACAAGATCAATAAGATCTGGAGATGTACTGTATAGCATGGTGACTGTAATTAATAATAACATATTGTTCAGTTGTCTCTTTATATCTAGGGGAGACTAGTTCCAGCTCACCCTGGAGACAACAAAATCAGCAGATGCTCAACCGCCTCATATAAAATGGTGCAGTATTTGCATATAACTTACACACATCCTTCCATGTAGTTTAAATAATGTCTACATTTCTTATAGTAGCTAAGACAATGTAAATGCTACGTAAATAGTTGTTATACTATATATTTGAATTATTTTTTGTCATATTGTTATTTTTATTTTTTTCTAAATATTTTCCATCTGTGATTGATTGAATCTGCAGATGCAGAACCACAGATACTAAGGGCCAAAAGAATACTTGAAAATTGCTAAGAGAGTTGATCTTAAATGTTCTCACAACAATAAAATGGCAAGCATGTGAGGTGACAGATATGTTAATCAGTTTGATTTAATCATTTTGCAATGTACACATATATCAAAATATCACCTTGTATACCATAAATATGTACAATGTTTTCAAATTAAACCTTAATTAAGCTGAGGGAAAAATGTACACCTGCCACCTGTCACCTCCAACACACACTTCCTATTGACCTGAACCTTCTAATTTTTCTCCATCTTTACTCATCGCCCCCCAAGCATGCCACATAGTTTATTTACCCCGTCTTCCCCCATTACAATATAACTTCCACAAGTCAGGAATTTTTATCCATTTTGTTCACTGCTGTATTCATGAGTATTTATAGTAGTGTCTGGAATGTTAACAATTATTATTGTTGAATTAACTAATCAATTATTAATATTTTAAAAATATAAATAAACATGTATATTACATTTTGCATTTAAATGCCATTAGAGCCCAACTATAAATATAAGTATAGATGGAAGGGGAAACCTTAAATGGTTTTATCCTTATATTCTTTTTGCCAATATGTTTTCCCACATTTCTCTACAATAAACTTCTACACCTTTATAATATTGAGAGTAAATATTTCTTAAGAAAAATTAACCTTAAGAGAGAGCTCAAAAAAATAAATAATTCACAAAAAACTGCTGTGAAGGCTATGCATGGAAAGGGCAGAAGGGAGATGGAGGGATTGCAGAGACCTGTGGGCTGAGTCTGAGCCTCAAGGCTTTTTCAGCATGAAACTCAGCAAAGACAGGTGTTAAAAAGGCCTGCCTCCCACCGCCCCTGCTGTTCACTAAGCTTAGGCAATCAAAGTGTACCAGTGTTTTTTCACTGCCCAGCATATACTGATTTAAGGACTCAACACTCTGACTTGAGAAAACCTAAAACATGAAGTTATCTCAAAGGTGGGTGAGATTCTAAGGAGGCTCAAATATATAGTCCTCAATTAATTCTCACCTCAACTTAGTTACAATCTGATACAACATATTAGGAGACAGGAACAGCACAGTGGTAAAAATCAAACCTCACCTCAAAAGATCATAAATTATTGCTCTCAGATTAGTATTAACTGACACAATATGTGCAGTGAGTATCTTCTCTTCCTCCTCCCGAATTACAGAAGAGAACGTGAAAGACTAGGAGCCATACACATTACCCCAGGGAAAGCAGAGTGAAAGGGCAGTCTGGGTGTCCTTAACTGCACCACTCACAGAGGGGGCCTGTCCCACAACCAGCCAGGTTATTTCAACCTATTCTTACCTGACAAAAAGGATCTGGGGGCCTTGGCTCCACTGTAGGTGGGTAATTTTATTCCAACTGGTTTTGGGTGCTAGTTTTCTGCCTAGTGGTCAAATTCAGAAACCCAATCAGGACCTAGGTCTCCACCTGGAGCTCTTAGGTTAGCTAATCAATGTCTTCTTGGTCCTCAAGGAAGGGTTTATTGTTTTTGTTTGCTTGTTTGATTGGTTGTTTGCCATTGCATTAAAATTCTTTCTTACCCAGCAATTGATGAGTTCAAGGCTATCCTGTCACATTTCGTGATGTGGCCTGAGCCCTCCCAGAGTGTTACTGACTGGGACCAACTACTAACTAAAGTTTAGTGAAGAGAAGACAATGAGCTTGCTGGAACGTCACAGAGGCTTGGTTGCCATGGTAGTGATTGTCAGATGAGATCACAGAGAAGGGTGTAAGAGAAAAGAAAGAAAAACATGCAGGAAAAGCTGAAGCATAATATTATACTAAAATATATATATATTATATATATATATTTTATACATATTTATACTGTCTAAACTTACAGTGGAGTAATGTGTTGAAACTTGAGGGGAAAACTACTTTTTGAGAAAGACTGACTTTCCAGCATCTTCTTAGAGAGATGTGGTTTCATGGAAGAATGGTGTCTGAGCTACATTTTGTCTTATTCTAAAAGTAAAAGGAATGGGACTGATCTGGAAGCACATAGATTCCAGATCAATACTAATACCAGACTATTGTAATGCCAATTTATAAAAGGAAGCTAGGTATCCATTAAAATAACAGAAAATCAACAGGTATTTTTTGTAACAGATCATTGAGTTGGATGTGAAATGGTTTAAAGCTTTAACTATTCCAGGGGCTCCTGCAAAGTGTAAACTTAGTGTTTTCTTGAGTTAGCACTGAAAGGAGAGCAGGATTGAGGGACAAAAGAAGCAATCCAGTCATCTAGTAATATGACTCTGGATGATGTTTGCTCTAAATTGCTCCCAGCATCAGTATGTGGAAGGTGGACAGTGTGTGTGAACTTCAAAGCCCCCGCAGGGCTTCAGTTGGCTTGAATAAAATGTTACTGGTTATCCTGCCACCTTGTGGCTATGGGCCAACATGCCAGGGTGTGGAGAAGGAAGGGAGGAAATTAATGAATCACAGAGTTGCCTGACTGAAGAAGGAAAGCTCAGAAACACATCCTCTTCTCTCTTCCCTATAGATGTCAACTTGCCCATCACTTGATTAGCTAAAAGTGAATAGGGCTTAAAGTTCAGTCCTTGAATGAGATTTTGCTTATATAGCCCTCCTAGGACTTTTGTCCTATCAGAGTAGCTTGTTGCACAGTGTGCTCCTTGTGATCAACGGTTAGTTAATCTTGTCTCTCCAAAATCTAAAGTTTAAATCCTTATTCATTAAATCAGACTGTTTATCAAGTATAGTGCTTTACTAACGAGATTATTTCAGAAACAAGCGAACAAAACAATAAGACGTATGCTGTTTGTTTTTTGAGACAGGGTCTTGCTCTGTTTTCCAGGCTAGAGTGCAGTGACACAATCACGGCTCACTGGAGCATTGACCTTGTGGCTCAAGCAATCCTCCTACCTCAGCTTCCCAAGTAGCTGGGACCAAAGGTGTATACCAACACGCCCAGCTAGGTGTTTTTATGTCTGTCTGTTTGTTTGTTTTATTTTGCAGAGATGGAGGTCTCCCCAGGTTGTCCAGGCTGGTCTCAAACTCCTGGGCTCAAGTGAACCTCCCGCCTTGGCTTCTCAAAGTGCTGGGATTATGGGCGTGAGCCACTACACCTGCCCAATATTGTTGATCAGAGTAAAGAAAAGACATAAGCACCCAGTAACAGTTAGAAGCCATATTCAGATTAGCTATAATTTTCACTAGAACCATCCCAATCTCTTGAAAGATAAAACATCAAATTAAATGTAGCCAAATCTAATTGCTTCACCTCTGATTTTTTTTAATCACTTGAAAAGGGTAATGGTTCCCTCACATTTTGTATATAAAATCTACTGGCTAGGGGAAGGCTCAGAAACTTGAATGTTAAATAGGATCCCAGGTGATTTTTACACACACTGAAGTATAAAGGTCACTGGACCATTCTAGTGGCCATGGGTCCCCTCTGGTTGGCCTGTAGTTGAAATCTATGGGAACAACTTTCAAACTACCACATCTGAGGAATCAGTGGAGGTTAGGAGGTTACTTTTAGAAGGTGATTGGGAATGTACTCGAATTTGAGATTTGTTAAAGTTCATTATAGTTATCACATATGAAAGAAGCAGCACACATGAGGAAAGGAGAGCTCTGGGGCTCCATGATAATTCAGCATGCCACAAGAGAACACTGAGACACAAATGAAATCACAACAATGATAGATGAGCAAGATAAAAATATTGAAGTAAAGATATAGAAATTTTACAAGAAACAATTAGAAATTCTGGAGCTAAGAATTCTATGACGGAAATAAAAAAAATCACTAGGGGGTGTTCACAAGTAGACTTGATCAAACAGAAGAAGGAATCAGCTAATCCAGACACCAGTCATTTCAAATTACATAGACAAAGGAGCAAAAGAAAAAAGAATAAAAAAGAGCAAATGAACCTACGGACTTAAGGGACATCATAAAGTGAAATAATATACTGATCACAAAAGTTCCAGATGGAGAAGAGAAAAATAAGAAGGAAAGTACAGTGCTGGCTAAAAACTTGCCAAATCTGTAGAAGAAAAAGGACATACAGATACATGAGGCCAAATGGAACTGAAATAAAACAAATTCAAGGGAAGTCCACACAAAGACATATTATAATTATATGTCAAAAGTCAAAAAGAGTGAATTTTGAAGAAGCAAGACAATGCTGAAAGAGAGAAATTCTCAACCAAGAATGCAATTTCTGGAAAAAAATTTTCTTCAAAAATGAAGAATAGATAAAGACTTTCTCAAGCAAAAGCTGAGAGAGACAACTTCATCACCACTAGATTTGTCATAAAATAAATGACAGGTGAGCCCTTTAACTCAAACAAAATAATACTAAATAGCAAAACTAAGCATAACTAAGCATATTAAAATATAAAACTTACTGGAAAAGCTAATTATTTAAACAAATACAAAATTGTGCAACATTGTAATGGTGGTGCACCTTTTTCTAATATGAAAGTCAAAAGACAACAAAGTAGAAATTACTATAACTACAGAAGTATAATAGTAGATATACACATATAAAAGATGTAATTGTGACATCAATAACAAAGTGGGAGAAGTGCATAATTTTTTATGTGATTAAAGTTGAGTTGTTATTAGCTTAGAATAAACTTTGCCTCCATATATATGATGTTTTACATAAGCCCCAAGGTAACCAAAAAAATAAAATACTACAGAAAATATACAAAAGAAAAAGAAAAGGAAATAAATACATATCAATACAAAAATATCAATGAACACAAAAGAAAACAGCAAGAGAAAAAAGAAAGAAGAATTATAACACAGACAGAAAAAATAAAATGAAGTGCCATAGCAAGTCCTTACTTATTAATACAACTTTGTAAATACAGTTGTCCCACAGTATCCATGAAAGATGGGTTTCAAGATCGCCTGTGGATTCCAAAATTTATGGATGCTAAAGTCCTTTATATTAAGTGATATAGTATTTGCATATAACCCATGCACACCATCCCCTATACTTTAAACCATCTCTAGATTACTTATCATATCTAATAGAATGTAAACAGTATATAAATACCTGTTACACCATCTAGTTTGCATTACTTTTATTATTCCATTTTTTATCATTGTTATTTTTATGGGGGTGTGTGATTTTTTTTATGCATGGTTGGTTGACTCTGTGGATGTGGAACCTACATCCAGCTGACTGTAAATGGATTAAAAATTCCCCAGTCAAAAGACAAAGAACGTCCAAATGCATTAAAAAATAAAATCAAACTATAGGCTGTCAACAAGAGACTATAGATTCAAGGATGCCCAAAGGCTGAAAGTGAAGGGAGGGAAAAAAATATTCCATGCAAATCATAACGAAAAGACAGCAGGAGTGGCTAAATTTATACCAGGCCAAATAGACTTTAGGTTAAAAACTGTCACATGAAATAAAAAAGGTCATTATATAATGATAAAAAGGTCAATTATCAGGATGTTAGAACAACTATAAATGTATAGGCACCCAAGATCAGAGTACCTAACTATATATAAGGCAAACATTGACAGATTTGAAGGGAGAAATAGACAGCAATAAAATAACAATGAGACACAACATTACGCCACTTTCAATAATGGGAATGAATCTCTAGCAGAAAACCAGTAGGGAAATAGCAATCTTAAACATCCTATAAAACAAAAGGACCTCATAGACATGTACAGAACTATCCAGTGACAGCAGAATACACATTCTTCTCAAGTGACTATATAACATTTTTCAGGATAGGTCATCTGTTAGGCCACATAACAAGCACAAGTAAATTTAAGAATATAGAAATTATGTAAGTAGGAAAAGTATCTTTTCTATCTATAATGATATAAAACTAAGATCAATAACAAGCAAAACTAGAAAATTCACAAATATGTGGAAATCAATACACTCTTGAAAAACCATTATGTCAAAAAGATATCGAGGGAAATTAGAATGTATCTACCTATAAAAAAAGACCAAAAACGCAAAATAACAAAACTTATGGATGCAGCTAAAGTGGTATTGAGGCAGTATAGCAATAAACATCTACTCTAAACATAAGAAAAATGTCCAAAAACAAACCCACCTTACTTTAAACTTCAAGGAAGTAAAAAGGAACAAATTAAGCCCAAATTTACCAAAGGAATTAAATAACAGAGATTAGAACAGAAATTAAATAAATCAAATACAGAATAGGAAAACAATAGAAATAATCGATGAAATATAAAATAATGTTGGCAAATCTTAGCTAGACTAACCAAGAAAAAATAGAGAAGACTCAAATAAATAAAATCAGAAATGAAAGAAGAAACAATACAACTCATGCCATAAAAATACAAATGATCATAAGGGATTACTATAAACAATTATTTGACAATAAATTGGAAGGCCAAGAAGAAATGATAAATTTCTGGAAATGTACACCCTCCTATGACTGAATCATGAAGAAACCGAAAATTTAAACAGACCAATAGTGAATAAGAAGATTGAATCACCAATAAAAAACTGATTAAAAACCTCTCAGCAAAGAAGCTCAGGAAGAGATGGCTTTGTTAATAAATGCCACCAAACATTTTTTAAAAATACCAGTTCTTTATATACTCTTCCAAATTATTGAAGAAAAACCACATTTCCAAACTCATTAAATGAGGCTAGTATTTCTGTGATATCAAAGCCAAAGACTTTATAAGATAAGAAAATTACAGGTCAATATTCTTGATGAATAAAGATGCAAAAATTCTCAACAAACTTAAATACTCACAAACAGAATTCAACAGCACATTAAAAGTATCACACCTCATGATCAAGAGAGATTTATCCTTGAGATGCAGGGATGATTCAACATATGCAAATCAATAAATGTAGTACACCACATTAACAAAAATACTAAAAACATATAATCTCCATAGATTCAGAAAAAGCATTTGGGGCCGGGTGCAGTGGTTCACGCCTGTAATCTCAGCACTTTGGGAGGCCAAAGTGGGCAGATCACGATGTCAAGAGATCGAGACCATCCTGGCCAACATGGTGAAACGCCATGTCTAATAAAAATACAAAAATTGGCTGGGTGTGGTGGTGTGCACCTGTAACCCCAGCTACTCAGGAGGCTAAGGCAAGAGAATTGCTTGAACCTGGGAGGTGGAGGATGCAGTGAGCGGAGATTGCACCACTGCACTCCAGCCTCGTGACAGAGTGAGACTCCATCTCAAAAATAAATAAATAAGAAAAAGAAAAAGCATTTGGAAGTGGCTGGAACAAAATGGTGGAATAGAAGGCTCCATCAATTGTCCTCCCACAGGAACACCAAATGTACCAACTGTCTACACAAACACAGCACCTTCATAAGAACCAAAAATAATATGAGCACTCACAATACCTGGTTTTATCTCCGTATCATTGAAAGAGGCACTAAAGAGAGTCAGAAAGAGAGCCGTGAATTGTTGATGCCAACTCTCCCTCATCCCCACTACAGCAGCCACATGGCACAGAGAAATGTGTGTTTGGGAGAGGGAAAGTGCAGCAATCGTGAGACTTTGCATTGAACTCAGTGCTGCCCTATCACAGTGGAAAGCAAAACTGTGCTGAACTCAGCTGACACAGACCCACAGAGGGAGCCTTTAGACAAGGTCCAGCCAGAGGGCAATTTGCCCACTCCAGCAGATGGAGCTTGAGTTCTGGCAAGCCTTGCCGCCATGAGCTGGAGTACTCTAGGGTCCTAAATAAATTTGACAGGCAGTCTAGGCCACAAGGACAGCAAGTCCTGGTGCTGAGCTGGGCTTGGAGCCAATGGACTTGGGAACACATGACTTACTGAAACAACAGCTGGGGCAGCTAAGAGAGTCCTTGCCCACACCTCCCCTAACCCCAGCAGCACAGCTCGTGGCTCCAAAAGAGATCCTTTACTTCTGCTTGAATAAAAGAAAGCGAAGAGTAAAGATGATGTTTGTCTTGCATCTTAGATCCCAGCTCATTACAGTAAGAAAGAATATTGGTCCGTCATGAGGCACCATTCCAGGCCCTAGCTCCGAGATGACATTTCTAGACACACCCTGGGCTAGAAGGGAACCTGCTGCCTTGAAGGAAAGAACCAGTCCTGGCAAGACCCATCACCTATTGACTAAAGAGCCCTTGGGCCCTGAATAATGAGAAGCAACACCCAAATAGTATGCCATATGCCTTGGGTGAGACTCGAGACATACTAGCTTCAGGTGAGACCTAGCACATTCCCAGCTGTGGTGACTACAGTGACAGACTCCTTCTGCTTGAGAGAAGCAAAGAGAAAGGTCAAGGGGACTTTGTCTTGTACCTTAAGTACCAGCACAGTCAAATGGGCATAGTGCATCAAGGGGGCTCTTGAGGTTCCCTATTCTAGCTCATGGCTCTTTTATGGCATTTCTGGAGCTTCTCTGGGCCAGAGGGGAGCCCATGTCCATGAAAGGTGATTCCCAGGCATAGCAGCATTCACCACAAGCTGACTGAAGAGCCTGTGGGCCTTAAGTACACACAGGTGGGAGTGTGGCAGTTACTCACCATAGGCCTGTGATGGTGGTGGCCACAGGGTCATTCTCCTCTGCCTGTGGAAAGAAGAGGGAAGAGTGGGAAGGGCTGTGTCTTGTGGCTTGAGGGCCAGCTCAGTTGCAGTATAATAGAATACCAGGTAGACGTCTAAGGTTTTTGACTCCAGTCCCTGGGTACCAGACAACACCTCTAGACCTACCTGGGGCCTGGAGGACTCGCTGCATGGAAGGGAAGGACACAAACCTGGCCTCAGGTGATGTATCTAATGTAAACTACATAATCTATAAGAAATATGTAAATAATATTTTCCTATGATATATAACCTCAGTTCCTAACACAGATGTCCAGAGGCAAATCTTTCAAATTCACAAGCAAAAATTAGATAGAAGCAAGTTACATGTGAACAAATGGAATCAGATGCAATGAGAGAAAACAGCTAGCACATTATATACATAGCTGAAAGCTGGACAGAATAAAAACTTGAATTTTAGATTCAATGTATTTAGAAGCACAATAGAATTCAAATGGTACATTTAAACATGTGAGAGTGTTTTTCTACTCTAAAACTGGAAAGGAGAGGGGAGGAGGATTTAATGAGATAATGAACATTATGTAACTGTCACAATAAACATTTAATACATGACAGTGGTTGTTGTTATGCTTACTATCTTAGAAGTCAAATGTTCTTTAAAGAAAGTGTCCAAAAGTAGATTTATGCCATAAATGATGCCAAGAATTAGGGCAAAGGGCAGGTCAAAGGTGAATAGGGGATATGATGTAGCAATTGTCAGCTTTGGTTAGTAACCTGGTTAATGTCCTCCTTTATTATAAATAGGGATCTAATTCAAAGGAAGGAACAGTATAATACATACACAATATACTTTTGCAACCATCTGAGCTGACAAAAAAAGCAGGGTCCCACAATAGCAGAGGCTTATGAGAAAAAGTCTGAACTGAATATATGAACACCTAAGTTTTAGGCCTCTTTCTTCTAACAGCCAACATAACTTTGGATCATTCTAACCTCTCTGGTCTCAGTTTCTGTGATACGAGGAAATTGAGCTTAATAAGACTAGAGGTCCTTTCTGACACTAACATTCTACACTGGTGTATTCCTCTCACATTTTTAAAGTTAAATTTATGGTTTATTTTTTAATATAAGATAATTCATCACCAGTATAGTAACAAGATGAGAAGGCATCTGAGCTAAGGAAATAGATGTTTTTCCATCTGCCTCTTGCTGTTTTTCTATCATAGAGCAAGATCTTCCTAGTAAAGGGTTGAAGGCAACTTTTCTGTGTCAAATTAGCTGTTGCTCAGCAAATAGAAGTTAAATGCCACTATACGGAGCAAACAAACACGTGCTAGCATGAAATCTGTGGCAGCATCCTCAGTACCCTACTTCAGTCAACAGAACTATCCAGGACAGATCTCCTAAAAACATAATTTATTGACAACATAATGAGGTTCTCTTTTTGTACTGACCTAATTCAATTTTAGATTATGTTTAAACTGATTTTTCTTAGAATTTTTCAAAATACAATACAAAATTTTCTAATAGGGAGAAATTATATGTATAAATATTTGAATATGTGTATTACAAAACATTACATCAAAGCAGAATTAATTTAAATGCAAATAGAGAAAGTCGTTTGGACCCTATGTTATGTGATGTCAATGAAACTTACACTCTGAAAAACAGAGATATGATATAGTGGAGGCTGTGGGATCACGTAGTAACATGTTGAGCCACATTCTCCCATAACCCTGATTTCATTGAACTAAGACAAAGATGGGAGGTGAGTTATTGAATTGAGAACTATATGGAACTTTTCACAAAAGTGCATTAAAAGATTGTCTTGGAGTCAAAAGAAATAAATATAACACTTTAAGAGAGAGAAAATGGTTATTGTAGTGGTCCCTATCGTTCATTTCCTTCATAGATTAGAAGAATGAGTGTCATAGAAGCCAATAACATTTCTGGGCCTGTGAGTGAATTTATCCTCCTGGGCTTCCCCTGCCTGCTGCAGGGAGACCAAGATCCTCCTCTTTGTGGTCTTCTCCCTCATCTACCTTCTGACCCTCATGGGTAACACATCCATCATCTGCGCTGTGTGGTCAAGCCAGAAACTCCACACACCTATGTACATCCTCTTGGCTAATTTCTCTTTCCTGGAGATCTGCTGCATTAGTTCTGATGTCCCAAAATGTTGGCCAATCTCATCTCCCATATCAAGAGCATCTCCTATGCTGGCTGCCTGCTCCAGTTCTTCTACTTCTCCATGTGTGCTGCAGAAGGCTACTTTCTGTCTGTGATGTCCTTTGATCGGTTCCTTACCATCTGTCGACCTTTGCATTATCCCACAGTCATGACTCACCACCTGTGTGTCCGATTAGTGGCCTTCTGCAGGGCAGGTGGTTTTCTATCCATACTGATGCCTGCAGTGCTTATGTCCCGAGTGCCTTTCTGTGGCCCTAACATCACTGACCATTTTTTCTGTAACCTGGGACCATTGCTGGCACTGTCCTGTGCCCCAGTTCCCAAAACTACTCTGACTTGTGCTACAGTAAGCTCTCTCATCATCTTCATCACCTTCCTCTACATTCTTGGGTCCCATATCTTAGTTTTGCGAGCTGTTCTGTGGGTCCCAGCTGGCTCAGGCAGGAACAAAGCTTTCTCTACATGTGCTTCCCATTTCTTGGTTGTTTCTTTCTTCTATGGCTCAGTCATGGTGATGTATGTGAGTCCAGGCTCCAGGAGCCGCCCTGGGACACAGAAATTTGTGACATTGTTTTACTGCACAGCAACCCCATTCTTTAATCCCCTGACCTACAGTCTCTGGAACAAAGATATGACAGATGCCCTTAAAAAAGTGCTGGGAGTGCCATCAAAAGAAATATCTTGGAACACACTGAAATGATATACATTCTTCTACAATTATTCCATAAGAAATGCAAAATTTCTCTCATTTTAAAAAAAACTATTTTCTGGTGATGTCTGAGCACTTGGCTTCTTACTCATAAAAGCGTGACTCATTACACACAAAGAGCCCTGATCCTATCTCAAAGCAAAAAGTATACAAAGTCCTAAGTTTCATCGTAGGTAAGATCTGTACAATTTTTATTCATCTATGTATCATTTTTCCATTTTGGAGATTTTTTAAGTCCTAAAACTATATGTAATTCAGTTGGTATGTACAAAGCTAAGACCCATGTTTCTAATTTGTATTTTGGCTTTATCCTAATGCAACTTTATGTATCTTAAATGTGTTTTAAATTTATCAACTGTTTTTTCCTTGCCAACTATAGGTTTTTCTATAATGAAAAACAGCATCTACTCACTGTACTCACAAAAATTAAATTGCTTTATCTATAATATCAAAGAACGAGAATCCGTCACTGAAACAAGAATGTTTTTTAATTTGTATTTTCCTTATTACTAAGTCTTGGTAAGGTGTTCATGGTGCGCAGCAAATAAAAACTAGAAATGGTATAGATTCTTAAGGGAAATTCCTGTTCCAGCTCTGAAGAGAATGCATAGAAGGGCATGCATACATTCAAATATGCCAAATAATTAAATATTTCTTACTCAAACCTGGGCTTCTATACTTTGAGCTTATAGTGAAGAAACATCTACTGTTACAGAAAATAAACATAGGATACCAGGGAATCAACTCTATCAACCAAAATATAAGCTACCTTAAAGCAGTCACCACCTGGATTAAGAAAATGTGGTGCATATACACCATGGAATACTATGCAGCCATAAAAAATGTTTGAGTTCATGTCCTTTGTAGGGACATGGATGAAGCTGGAAACCATCATTCTCAGCAAACTATCTCAAGGACAAAAAAACAAACACCGCATGTTCTCACTCGTAGGTGGGAATTGAACAATGAGAACACTTGGACACAGGAAGGGGAACATCACACACCGGGGCCTGTTGTGGGGTGGGGAGAGGAGGGAGGGATAGCTTTAGGAGATATACCTAATGTAAATGACGAGTTAATGGGTGCAGCACACCAACATGGCACATGTATACATATGTAACAAACCTGCACATTGTGCACATGTACCCTAGAACTTAAAGTATAATAAAAAATACATATAAATAAAAAATAAATAAAAAATTTAAAAAAGTCACCACTTAACATAAACTTCTTTACTTAACCTGATCACCTGCCAACACTCTGAAATTTTCATATTTTTAACTAAGGCACAAAAATTAGGGGGATAGGAAAGAGAGGTGTTTGTGATGTTGTCTCCAATATGTTGAAGAGAAAGTTAATGATTTGACTAAAAATATCCAGTCTACATTAGACTTCATATTCAAGTTTTTTCTGTGAACATATACCTCTTTTATTATTTGTTAAATTTTATTTCTAATGAACACATGATAATTATATATTTATGGGATACAATGTGATGTTTTGATAATCATTTACATTGTGAAATGATTAAATCAAGCTAATTAATAAATTCATCATCTCCTATACTTATTTTTTGTGGTTAAAACATTTGAAATCCACTCTTTTAGTAGTTTCTAAATATGTGGTGCATTATTATTTATTATAGTCACCATTCTATGAAACAGATCACTAAATCTTATTCCTTCCATCAAACTGAATTGTTGTATCCTTTGATCAACATCTCTCCTCCCCTCAGCCGCCTCTTCCCTCCAGCCTTAGTTAACCACCATTCTACTCTCTACTTTTAAGAGTTCAACTGAATGAAGTATCACCTCATATCTGTTAGAATGGCTATCACAAAAAGATGAAAGATAAGTATAGCTGAGGGTGCAGAGAAAAGTAAACATTTGTGCACTGTTGGTGGAAATGTAAATTAATATAACCGTGGAAAACAGTATAGAAGTTCCACAAAACACTTAAAATAGAATTACCATATGATTAAGCAATTTCCCTTCTGGGCATATATCCAAAGAAATTGAAATCAATATGTCAAAGAGATATCTGTACTTCCAAATTCATTGCAGCATTATTCACAATAACCAAGACACGGAAGCAACCTAGGTATTTGTCATCAGATGAGTAGATACACAAAATGTGATATATACACACAGTGGAATACTATTTGGCCCTTAAAAAATAGAGAAATTCTTCCATTAGTGACGATGTGGATGAACCTGTAGAACATTATGCTAAGTGAAAAAAATCCAGACACACACAGACATCTTAAAACCCTCTTCCAAGTTATTTTGACTTTTGGAATATTTTCTTCAATAAAATATGTTAAGGGATAAAGCTTCATAGACCACTGTGGAGCTAAGGGAGAATTCAGAGCAACCTGCAATGCCAAAGCGTTAGTTCTTCTTGCCCTCTGCAGATTGTAGAGACTATACCCACCTGAGATAACTCTATTAGAGTATAATTCTGCCAGTGTTCTCACTTACATCCAATAAAAGCTGACTCTAGCTGATTATGTAAATGAAAAAGGATTTATTGATGGAGTAGCAGGAATCTCACAGAACCAATGAAAGGTGAAGAGCCAGAGTTGAGGCTCAAATTCAAAGATACATATGCAAACCACCATGCAGAACTGATGATGAAAAATCATGACTGCAGTCATGGCTGTGCTATAGGCCACCAAGATGCTACATGAGCACCACTGTCATTCTGTTCTAGGAACTTGTCTTTTCTGCAACAAGTGTGCTACCTTCTTGTCTTTTTTTTTTTTTTTTTTAATTGAGACGGAGTCTTGCTCCGTCTCAGGCTGGAGTGCAGCGGTGCGATCTCGGCTCACTGCAAGCTCCGCCTCCCAGTTCACACCTTTCTCCTGCCTCAGCCTCCTGAGTAGCTGGGACTACGGGTGCCAGCCACCACGCCCGGCTAATTTTTTTGTATTTTTACTAGAGACGGGGTTTCGCCGTGTTAGCCAGGATGGTCTTGGTCTCTTGACTTCGTGATCCGCCCACCTTGGCCTCCCAAAGTGCTGGGATTACAGGCGCGAGCCACTGCGCCCAGCCTGTTCATTGTCATTTCTTATGCCAATATTTCAACATTGTTGCTCTTCCTACTTCTGCTTCTTGATTCAAAGCCTGGTATAGCTGTATCTGGTAAAGGCAAGAGTACATTCCTACAACTTTAAGTGCAAGGGAAGCTAGGAGAGCTAATATCTGGCAATATAAACAACAATTACATAAATAGAAGCTCCAAGCCTGATAATATTGGGATTACCTCAAACATAAAAAGGGATGGAGATACTGGACAGCAAACACACACACACACACACACACACACACACACACACACACACACACACACACAGAGAGCGAGAGAGAGAGAGAAATAACTCAAACAACCCATTCATTTTGACTATTCCATATCTCTGAGCTATGTTTCCTCTAGAGATTACACAGGGTGGAAATCAAATTATCCACCTATGCAACAGCAGTGAAAGGGGAGCAGGATGAGTAAGGGGTAAAACACTGTCTCGGGTAGTTGAGGACTTGTCTATCTCATGATGAATGCTGTTAGAAGATACTGTGCTGCTTATAAGTTACTACTGCATTATCTGGAGTTCTGAGAGAAAAAGTTAAACTAAAGGTAAATAAATTATCATCTGGAAAATCTCTGTAAGCTGCAGTGAGAGTGTTGTGCACTTGCCTTTCATCCTTCTTAGAACTAGTGAAGAATGGATATAGAGGATTCTTCACTTACTCTTTCTCTTTAAGCCAAAAATTCTTAGACTTGGGGGAGGGGGCCAACGAACCATAATTAACTGAATAACTAAAATCCTCACTTGTATCTAAGCTCTCACTGTGCTTGAAAAAGATGTTCATATATAAAATTGAAATATTTTAAAGTATGTTTTTAGTCTAAATGTGTAAATAAAAACATAAAAGTTTTACTAACTGGGGCTTGCTTAGCTACACTGAAATGAATTGTATTCCATTTTGTCTACTTTTTAATTATACAAATAAATCATATATTTTATAGTGAATAGTCGTTGTAAAGAAAAAAACTATAAAATAGTGAAAATTTTCACATCTCCACACCTCTACACACACACATGCCTCCTCAGCAACGTGTTTAGTTTGGTGGATGTATTTCTAAGTCCTCTTTCTGTACATATAGAAGCAAAATCTCTGGGTTTTGAGTGGGTATATAAATTGGATTATACCTAAGTATTGTTCTACAACTGATTGACCCTCCCAACCACTCTGTACTCTCACCTAAACAGCAATGTCTGAAAGGGAAATTTTAGCCAGCTCTGCAGGTACTTCTGTCAGTTTGGGACAAATCAGGACAAACAGACTGAAGATACAATTCTTCAGGAAAGACTTTCCCAGGAGATGGAGCATGGATGTGTAAGGTCACTAGTTCCAACATGTAGCACACTCAGTGGGTTCTTTCCCCTGCCAAAATCAGGATTTCAATTAGGAAAATACGTGAAATAAGAGCATGCTTGTTCTCTCCAGGCAAAGAAACTTCATTCTGAAAAATAAAGTCAATTTAGTATTTGTTTAACCTCAATATTATTTGAGGTCTGTATTTAGTCCTTAGACCTCTCTTTAACCTGTACTGTCCAATACAATAGCCACGACCCACATGTGGTTACTGAGCACCTGCAAAGCGACTAGTCCTAATTAAGATGTGCTCCAAGTATAAAATCAAATACCAGTTTTGAACACTTGGTGGGATGAAAGAATGTAAACATCTCATTAATAGTGTTTATACTAATTCCATGTTGAAATACTATTTTGGGTGAGTTGGGTTAAATAAAAATATTATTAAAAATTTCACGGCTGCTCTTCAGCAAGGTGGAGTGGGCGCGCCACATGCCCTTCTTCCCCAAGCTGCCGGTGGCCGACCAGGTGGCTTCGCTCTGAACGCGGGTTAGGTGGCATTGTCCCTGCACACTGCTGCCATTTTTCAATGGTGCATCTTCAGGCACATTTTTAAACCAAACTTCTTGCCTTTCTTAATAGCCACCATTTGGATTTGGATCTCTAAGTGTACTTGTTAGAGCATTTCCACACTCATTTTGATGATTGCCTTGCTTTCCTGCTCACCGTAAACTTGAAATAGGAAGGACAGAACTCCCTCACTTCCTATAGGTCTCCTCAAAATTTAGCTTAAATGAAGCCTTCCCAGACTATTCTATTTAAAAGAGCATCCCCACTCTCACTAGTATCTATTCCCATCATCTGCTTTGCCCTTCTTCAAAGAATGTATCACCACAGGAAATATTGTATCCTACATATTTATTTCTCTATTTCTTGATCCCTGTCTTCCCATACTGTAATATAAACTGCATGGGAATAGGTATCACTGCTATAGCTTCAGTGCTCAGATAATGCCTAATACATAATAGGAGCTCAATAAATGTTTGTCGAATAACCTTGTTAACTCAATAATTGAGCTATTACTATTGCAGAAGCCATTCAGGAGCAGTAAAAAGATCATATTTCCTGCCCTAAAGAAACTTATATTCTAACTGGTAGGAAAGTAAAAAATAGCACAAACAATGCTGTAATAGATACCCAAAAGGCAGACCAATTTTGAGTAAATATTTGGCAAAACTCAAAAGGCAATGAACTTAGAAAATAACATTATGATATACTGTAGTGGGCAAGGAAAGTTTCGTATGAGGCATCTAAACATGGGCAAGGTATGAATAGAACAATTTTAAGCTCAGGTTGTAAAACTAAGATTATACTCTGTGAATTAGAGAGAGTGAGTCAAATGGGAGTGATGAGACATATATTAAGGTAAAAATAAAGTTTAAGAAGAAATTCAGAACCTAAAAACATTTACAAGCTAAAGAATTTGGGTTTTTTTCCTGTGTTTAGGTAGAGAGAAAATAAGTGATGGAGGTTCAAGAACATAATTCTGGAATTTGACATGGGAGATAACAGAGACAGACCATTTATGAAGTGATTATGCCATCACAGATATGGAGTGCTAGGAACCTGCACAGAAAAGACGAGCGTAAAGATGACAAATGATCCCAGGGAAGATGCCTAATCTGTTTAATGACAGATTAGAAGTGGGAATGAGATGGTAAGGAATTCTACTGTCAAGATTTCAAGTTCATGCTATAAATCAACAGATCCATGAGAAAATAAGGATGGCTAGAGCTAACTTAAAAGGAGATTAACAAATTTAGGATTAGACATTTGAATTTGAAATAGATCGTCATGTAAAAATATCCAGCAGAATGCTGCAAATATTTAACTACGCTTTGGTAGTAAAGTCAGTGCTGGAGTTACCCCAGAATCAAGATTTAGCACAAGATTTCCTCATGGAGTGCAGTACTGCAAATTAATAAATTGCTACTCAAAAAAATAAATTAGAGGGTAGAACTTACCCGAGGAACACTTTTCCAGAGTTTAATGAAGAACTACACACACAAAAAAAGTGCTTAGTAGGCCTAGATTGTCAGTGATCTCACAGATTCTATGGCTCTTTGGTTTGCACTGGGCATCACCTGACCTTCTTGTGTCTACATATGCCAAAGTGTTAGCATTGGCAAAATGTGAGGTGTCAATCAAGTCAACATAATATTATTGAAGGCCCTTGTTAGCCCCAGAAGTTATACTTCAAATTATAAAGAATAAAAAGGCAGAGCTTAAAATTGTCCCTGAATTGTTGAGAGTTTTGGGGGTGTGTATGTGTGTGTGTGTTTTAATCTGGTAATTTGAAGGATCAGTGGAAAACTATTTGTATAGTTGCAATACATTCAACCATTGCTATGCTCTCAAAAAAATGAAACAACTTGCTTCAATGAAGGCAGAATCTGAGGATGTTGAAACATACCAAACAGTATGTACTGAAAACCAAGAGTAAGCAGAAGCTCAGTTTTAGAGAAATAGATGAAAATATTAAGTAGAATTGCAAAAATAAAAAAATCTATTTAAGGTACAAACATATCTGGACCATAATAGTAATAACTTCCTAAGACTGAAACCATGGGTCCAATTAATTCTTTCAAATTATCTTCCCAATATATAAAAGTAGAATAAAATGGAAAAAAGCATGATCTCATTGGTCTCATCATCTTTCATCCTTCTAAACATTAATGATGAATTATATTAAATTTGCCTCTTGGATCCTTTAGAAATTTCCTACTATAACACATACATAAATTTTTTTTGCTATCCCTCCCCCCCCAAACCCACAACAGGCCCGAGTGTGTGAAGTCCCCCTTCCTGTGTCCAAGTGTTCTCATTATTCAATTCCCACCTATGAGTGAGAACATGCGATGTTTGGTTTTTGTCCTTGCGATAGTTTGCTGAGAATGGTTTCCAGCTTCATCCATGTCCCTACAAAGGATATGAACTCATCATTTTTTATGGCTGCATACTATTCCATGGTGTATATGTGCCACATTTTCTTAATCCAGTCTATCGTTGTTGGACATTTGGGTTGGTTCCAAGTCTTTGCTATTGTGAATAGTGCTGCGATAAACATATGTGTGCATGTGTCTTTATAGCAGCATGATTTATAGTCCTTTGGGTATATACCCAGTAATGGGATGGCTGGGTCAAATGGTATTTCTAGTTCTAGATCCCTGAGGAATCGCCACACTGGTTCAATCGACAGTGTGGCGATTCCTCAGAAATTTCTTTAGTGCCTCTTTCATATCCTTGTTCCGGAAACTGTAGATCAGAGGATTAAAGAATGGAGTTGACAAAGTATAGAACAAGGTCACAAATTTCTTTATCCCATGATAGTCCCCAGAACCTGGGCTAACATACATCACCATAAGAGAACCATAGAAGAGAGACACTACAGCAAGGTGACAGCCACAAGTTGAGAAAGCCTTATGCCTTCCTAAGCCTGAAGGCACCTGTAGCACTGTGCTTAGAACACAGAAATAAGTCCCAAGGATATACAAGAAGGTAAGAAAGATGATGAGAGCGCTAATGATACCACAAGTCAGAGTAATTCCAGGTATTGGAGCACAAGACAGTGCCAGCAAAGGTGCCAGATCACAGAAAAAATGGTCGATAGTGTTTGGACCACAAAAGAGGACCTGAGATATTAGTGTCAAAGGGGTCAATAACCAGAGACAGCCACCCACCCAGCAGAAGATCACAAAAATGAGCACAAACGTGATGGGTCATTAAGGTGGGATAGTGCAAAGGTCTACAAATGGCAGGAAACCTATCAAAAGACATCACTGACAGAAATAAGCACTCTGCAGCACACATGGAGAAGAAGTAGAACCGGAGCAGGCAGCCAGCACAGGAGATGCTCTGTGTCTGGGAGATGAGATTGGCTGCCATTATGGGCACGTCAGAACTGACACAGCAGATCTCCAGGAAGGAGAAATTGGCCAGTAGGATGTACATAGGTGTGTGGAGTTTCTGGCTTGACCACACAGCACAGATGATGGATGTGTTACCTAGGAGGGTCAGAAGGTAGATGAGAGAGAAGACCACAAAAAGGAGGATCTGGATCTCCCAGCGGCAGGGGAAGCCCAAGAGGATGAACTCATTTACAAATCCAGTGGTATTAGTAGTCTCCAAGGTCCTCACTGGTTTGGCCTGTAGAGGTGACAGAGATAGTAAGAACCACAGAAATTCTGCCCTGTCTCCCTTCTATCTCTTCTGGTGAATAGATATATGTTTATTTTCTTCAATTTGGATTTGGGATACTGCTCTCTTCCCCTTGGAAGGATGAGCTGTTCTTTCCTTTTCACCTCCGTCCTAGTTTATTCAATAAATAGTCATTTTGCAAATTATTGCTCTAGAAGATAAAGAACAATGAATAAAATAAAAGAGTCCCTGATCTTATAGAGCTTATGTCAAATACCTTTTGTTCAAAACAACCTCAAGCAGTACGTTGATGGCTCCAAAAGTTCTACATAGAGCAGGCCTTGGAGCATACATGTACTGGAAGGGATCTGAGGAGATTTACCTTGGAACATCATTTGGATAGCGAAGATACTGTTTTTACTTAAATTGTATGCTTCTGATAACTTCAGGAGAAGCTGACACAAATTATGGGGTTGATGTGATCGTCCCTCCACCTATATCAAAATGCTGCCATTGACACAGTAGCAGTAGAATGTGACAAAAACAAAACTTTCTGTGGTTGTCTGAGACACACATAATATTCATTTGGAAATAATAACAAAAGGCTTTTGAGAAGAAAATGAACGTTGACAAAATATAGAATTTTCCATAACGATGGCGGGAAAATATTATTTGCATATAATAAAAATGTAGAAAGATTTGGATACAAAAAATTATACCCAGAGAAGAGTATAAAATAGTACAAGTGTACTTGCAAAAAGTTGTGAGACATAAGGTATAAATATACGGTAATCACATGGCAGAGGACTTGCTGCCAGCCAGTCTAACTAGTTCAAGCTTAATTTGCTAGTCAAGGAAAAACAAGATGTATTAAGTAGAAGAATGAAATAATTGAAGCTTTATGAAAACAGCATTTTTCAAGACCATTTGGTGCAGGTTAATAAAATTAGCAGAAAAATTTGGAAATTATTTCAATAGCCCAAGGAAAAAGTGTAAAAAGCTTGACCTGGGGCAATTACATACAAACAAATACCAGGGAAGGGACAGAGGTAATTAAATTCTGCCCAAGAGGCAGAGGACGAGAACAAGGAAAAAAAAAAAAAAAAAAAAAGCAAGGTTTCACTTTCCATTTGCCACAGATAGTCCTCTGCATGGGGTA
The DNA here is from genome assembly GCF_000001405.40 of Homo sapiens. Classification (NCBI taxonomy): domain Eukaryota; kingdom Metazoa; phylum Chordata; class Mammalia; order Primates; family Hominidae; genus Homo; species Homo sapiens. Next base: position 21,970,535 of record NC_000015.10, on the reverse strand, counting down.
TCTCACAGGCGAGATCCACTTTCAGCACAGTAATTGTGCATTGAGGACCTTTCTGTACCAAAAGATTAGCCTACTGAAGGGTCATGTTGGATATCTCTTAGATTCCCCAGTCCTTTTTTCTTTTGACTCTTTTGAATCAGAATGTTAAATTTCATGAAATAAATTAGCTACCACCTACAAAGATTTCTCTCCAAGTCACACACAATGAGTGAATATGTGCTACGCTGTATCTGTGTGAAAGAGAATAAACAAGAGAGTTAGTCCAAATTATTGCCCAAACCTGCACCAAATGGTCTTGCAAAATGCTGTTTCCATAAAGCTTTGAACATTTCATTCTTCTAGTACATCTTGTTTTTCATTGACTAGCAAATTAAGCCTGAACTAGTTAGACAGGCAGCAATGACTCCCATTTTCCTGTCTTCTAAGAATATAATCCTTTTGAAGATAATCTGCAAGGACAAAATTACTATTTGACAAAAAAATTCTTAATTCTGTGTCTAATAAGCCTAATAATAAAGCTGTTTGTGAAGGAAAATAGTCATGAAAATTTATGCTCCTTTTTATACCAACATCTGAAACAAAGTGGACTTCGAGATACAGAAAAGTTACTGCTCCACCTGCCCATAATTCCATATCCTAAATGTTGCCCAGGAGTCAAATAGCCTCTAAGTAAGGCACCTTTTGATTCTTTTCTTTACAAAGGCCCCTTTCAGGCTTTACTCAGATGTAGAACATGCCACAAATCTCCCCATTCCTCATTACTTATCCCTTCCAGAGTCTGAGGCTCTGTCTCTGGAGATCTCAATCCTGGGACCAGTGGGGGCAATTAACGTGCATTATGCAGGCTTGAGTATGTTTCATCTTCAGAGATAATCATATTGGAGACAAAAACTACATAATATGCATACACGCTCATGTGCAGTCACACACACACTTACACACACACAGATCAGGCTGTTAACATAGCAGTATTCCTTCCAGAGTTTCCTCTCCTAATCTTAATAAATTATCTTTGCGCTAACAAACTTTTTCTGCCATGAGGGGCACCATTACCTTCAAATTTTGTTAATCTCAGAAACTGAGAAGAAAAAAAAAATTCTGGGTCTAAACAGTTTAATAACAAATAAACAAAGGTACCACACTTGGCAGATAAAAAATGACTTTTTGTCTATGTGTCTGTGCAGTTAAAACAGATTTAGATTCCCCATTGGGACAAAAGGAAAAACACACAAAAAAAGGAAGGAGGTTCTTTTGAAAAACATACTCCCTTGCTCCAAATTTGTAACAATTTTTTTTCTCTTTTTAAATTCACTACACAAACTCTGTGATGAGGTAAGAAAAGCGACGAGGGCTCTTCTTGCTTTTTTTCTTAAACCATTAAAGTAAAACCCGTAATTTTCTACAGAGTACAACACAAGTTCACACAAAAAAGACATTTTCTTTTGCAAATCAAAACAGGAAAGAAAGGAAAAGCTCAAACAAGGTGAAGGAAAAGCATTTCTACAGCTGAATCACGACTGAGTTGATCGAAGCCCATTGTTGCTGCACAACAGACTGTGCGTTTGGTCACAGCGGCAATTTTTTTTTCTCCTCACATTGTGAAATCACTTTACATTGTTTTCTAGTAGAAAAGGCAAAAAATTGTACAAAACCCCTAGTGTTAAATACGTTTGTACCAATAAAACACTCACACAGGTTTGTCTCCAAAATGTCAAGTTTCTTTTTCTTTGCTTTTTAAATTATTCACAAGACCCCAAATTTTTCATCCATGTTGCCCAATTGGCAGTTTGAAGATCTTGCCCACTAAATCCAGAAGGATCTTATGCCCAGAAATCCACAGAGCTACCCATCTTTATTTCTTATAAACTCTTTTTCTCCACATATAGATCAAACAAGGTAGATGTTAGTCAACTCAGAAGTTAAGATATCAATTGTGTGAAAAAGACAAATCCATTTCCTCTTTTTCAAGTGTAGATCACATTTCTGGGTCCCCTTTGGAGTTAGGTGTGGTCATGTGACCGAGTTCTAGTTCAGAGAAAACAATGAAAACTGCTGTGCAACACTTCAGGCCCTACCCATACAAGGGCCTTGATGATTTTTGATACCATTGAGCACAATGACATTGAAAGACATTTATGAAGATGATGAAGTCAAAGAGAAGTCCTGAATTCCAGAATCAGCACTTGAAGAACCTGCCAATCAGGAGCACCCATTCAGATTTTAAGTGAGCAATAAACTTCTTTTGGCCCAGCATGGTGGCTCATGCCTGTAATCTCAGCACTCTGGGAGGCCGAGGTGTGTGGATCATTTAAGGTCAGGAGTTCGAGACCAGCCTGGCCAACATAGCAAAACCCTGTCTCTACTAAAAAATACAAAAATTAGCTGGGTGTGGTGGCACACACCTGTAATCCCAGCTACTCGGGAGGCTGAGGCAGGAGACTTGCTCGAACCCAGGAGGCAGAGGTTGCAATGAGCCAAGATTGCGCCACTGCACTCCAACCTGGGTGACAGCGAGACTCCGTCTCAAAAAAATAAAGAAAGAAATAAACTTATTTCATGTTTGATCCACTTTAAAAAAATTGTTTGGAGAAGAAAGTGACCAATTGAAACCAACATTTTTACATTTTGAAGAATGTATTAAAAAAGCAATTTGTGAATGGCTGTATCAACATATAATTCAGTGGGCTTATTCCCTTCAAAGACTCAATTCTGAAATAACAGGAATAAATTACGGAAATAATTTCTGGAGACTGAACAATTACTAGGAAGGAATAGAAAGTGAGTGTTAGTGGATACATTTACCACAAGATCACCATTAGGTTGTATTTGAATTTGAATATGATTTCCTTTGAAATATATGATCTTGTGCCTATCTACATTCACGGCAAGCACAATCCTTCCTTTAGCTTGAGCCAAAACCTGTGGGGCAGAAATAAGAAAAACCTTTAGCAGTAGGAAGCAGTGTGGAGTTTTTTAGTTTTTTGAATGCAAAGGTTTACAGAGACCTGAGGACCTTGAATTAAGTGAACATAGTTACAGGGGGAAAAAATAGTAAGAACTATCCCTACCATCAGCATTCAATTAACAGTAGTGAGAAAATACAGCTGTAAACCCAGTTGCAGAAAGTTGAGGATAGGACAAATTCAGAAGCTCTTAAAATCCTGGTAAGTAGAATTAAATTTAATTTAAAGCCAGCCATGGAAATTAAAAGATATAATTAAAGTTCAATTAAAATGTAGAGCGTTTAAGACTTTATGTGAGTGGTATATCACTTTCTTAGATGCTATAAAATTAAATTAGAAATATTGATAGAAAACATGTTCTTGAAAATATTATTTTGCTGCCCTGTTTCAGGTATCTCTATGTCTATAAATTCAATCCCTGTTTTCCATGGGTTTGCTAATGCTGGTCTTTCTGCCCATATGCCCTCACTTTCTATCTCTGCAGTAAAATGTCACCATCCTTCTTAGGCAAATCACACACTAGCTCTTAAAACTTCCATCTGAAAATTGCATGCCATTACATCTATTCAGAAATCGATAGGCAAATCAGGGTAGTCTTTTGGTCACATCTAATTTCCAAGTGTCAGGGAGGTACAATTCTATCATGCACTCAGGAGGAAAAACAAAATACTGGTGAACAGAGTAACAACTACAACATTTAAGCTTCCTTTGTTCTTCATGTAAGCATATGATTAAACCTTTATTAAAAGAATGTAAAACAACTATATGTTTAAATTAACTATAATACTTTAAGCTCTTTGATGCAAAGATCTTTTCTTGCCTTTTGTCTTTTTACCTTAGAAAGCCCTCAGGACCATGGGTTCTTACTTTGTATCTAATAAATTTTTTTAAAATTTTCCTTCAGTCAAAAATTCACTGAGTGAAGATGAGTACTATATACAACCTCTTCCAGGATACCCCTTTCTGGATATTGGTCATGCATACACTGCATACACTCAACACCATTGCCAAAATTTTGACAACTTGCCCTCAGAAAGATTAGCTACTTTGTTAAATTTTGATTCTTCCCTTTTTTTAATTTAGTTTCTACCCTTGAATCACAGCATTTCACACATACATTGCTATACATATCAGAGTTCAGTACAAGATAGAAAAACAACTCCAAAATTTTAAGCAGAAAGAAATTTAACAGGGAATTAATGCTTGATTAACTCTTTTTCCTTGTTATTCATAGTCATCCTTAGAGAGGTAGCATAATTTTACCACATTAGGATAATCTGCACTTTCGGTATCTTGTCTTTCAATATTTTAAATGTTTCAAAATGTTCTGTACTATACATTTGATGATATTTATCATACATGGTATCATTAATTGATTCAATCCTTGAGTCAATAAATATTTGTGAAATAACTACTATTCACCAGACACTTTTTTCACTCACTCTTGATATCACAGTAAGGAAATCTGCCTCCAAAAAGTAATTAATTTGTGACATAGCAAACCCCAGAAGGGAAAATTTGAGGTAACACAATGAGTTCACTTGTACACATGGTCAACTATGTGTCACTGAGATATCCAAGTAAAGACAACCAGTCAGCGATTGGACAGAAAAGTCTCAAGCTCAGGAGAGGGTAATAGATATATTAGATATTAGAAGCTGTTAGCACAGAAAGGGCATTTGGACCTGAAGTGGGTATATACTTCCTAAGAAATACTGCCTAAGAAATATGTATGAGAAAAGAGCAGAGAGTCTAACATCAAGCCACCAGCAATGCCATAATAAGCACAAATAAATATATAGTGGATAGGTGGAGAAGCAAAATACCAAAAAAGAAACAGGAAAAGTAAATAGAGAGGGGGAAAAAAAAAACAGAAGAAAATAAGCAAAGAAAATGGGATTTTCTTTGAATTTTCATTTAGAGAGTTGTCAGTCTGGTCAAACACTGCTAAAAAGTCAAACAATTCACGAACTTACAAGTAACCATTTGATTTAGGTACATAGAAATCACTGGTGACTTTGGCAAAATTTCAGAGACATTGTGGAGAAGGAAACCAGATTGCTGTAGGCTGAGGAGTGAAGTGACAATGAGAGATACAGAGAACCGGTATAGACATGGGGCTTGGCTAAAGGAGAGGAGAGAGATGAAAACTGAAGGGGGATGTTAGATCAAGGAAGAATTATGTTTTTGTTTTTGTAAGGTAAGGTTGAGCAGGGAAAGGAGAGAAAGGTGGTAAGCAAAGGTACTCGCTCCCTGTAACTGTGGTAGAGGATGGAATACAGAATGTGAAGGGGGAGATTTCAATTTGAACAAAAGGGTAAGAATCTCTTTTATTGTTTATAGGAAGAAATGAAAAGAATGTGAGGACAGATTTTTTTACTTTAGTATGTTCCAATCATCAATAACAATCTTCCTGTGTCAAACTATTGGTTTGTCTTAAGTGATGTCCTAAGTGAAACACACAGTACACTAGCTTTGCCTTCAAAGCTTTCTTTTACTTAAGTAATCCAGCCACATAGAAAAAAATAAATAAATATTGAATAGTATTTTTAGACAGTAAGATAGCTCTCCCACCCAAGACCCTCAGTTCTTCTAAAAGAAAACTGCTATTCCTAAGTCACATATAGATAATCAGTGCATTTACAAATATGTGTATAAACACATGGCTTTGGGCATTTAATTTTTAATTTACATAATGCATAATATTAACAGGTAATAGTTTTACATATTTACAAGGTACACGTGTTATTTTGATACAGGTATATAGTATGTAGTGACCAAATCAAGGTAATTGGGATATCTGTCACCTCAATCATTTATCATTACTTTGTAAGCACGTTTTTAAATAAATTATAGCGTACTAATCACACGTTTCTGTACTTTATTTCACTTAGAACTACTTCTTGGACATACTGCTTCTTATCAAAATGTATACATCTATCTTAATTCTTAATGGCTGTGTAGTTTTTCATTCTCTAAATGTAACATGATTTATTGATTCAGTCACCTATTAATAGACGTATTTGTTTCCAAGATTCAGCTATGACAAATAATGCTGAAAGCTTATTAATTTATGTAGAAATTTGCAAAATACACAATATCTGAAAGAAATATTCTGAAAGTGAAAATGCTGAGTCATAAACTGTGCACTTTTTTTTTTTTTTTGAGACAGAGTCTCTCTCTGCCGCCCAGGCTGGAATACAGTGACATGATTTCAGCTCACTGCAACCTCCACCTCCCGGGTTCAAGCGATTCTCCTGCCTCAGCCTCCTGAATAGCTGGGACTACAGGCACCTGCCATCACACCCGGCTCATTTTTGCATTTTTAGTAGAGATGGGATTTCACCATGTTGGCCAGGCGGGCCTCAAACTCCTAACCTGAAGTGATCCACCCACCTCGGCCTCCCAAAGTGCAGGGATTATAGGCGTGAGCCACCACACCTGGCCTAAGTGTGCACACTTTAAATTTTGGTCAATATGGCCACATTTTCCTCCAAAGAGGTGTCAGTGCTTTCCTCATTACTGTTGCTTTTCTCTCTATCCTTGGCACCAAGGCCTAGCTTTTCACAAGTTCTTCAAAATGAGCTTCACAAATTATTTTAGCCACAATGTTTTATGGCTTCATTATGGTGATATGAATACTGTCCATATCAGTGACATTAATTACTGTCAGTTGAGAGAATACGGTACATATTCTTGAAGTAAGACTCTTTCATCAAAGGTGACCCAATGTCTACCCTTTAAATCTATATTGTACACACTTAATAATATAAGGTCAGTGACCACAATAAAGATATGGAGTAGGAGAAGGCTGCAACAGCTACCCACAATTCATTATAGAACAAACCTAGCACTGCCACTATTTCAATATGGGCATAGATGGGATATATGATTCTTCAGAACTCACTAGATCTGTTACCAGGCTAACCAGTTATTCCCCATAAAACTCATGACTTCTTACAAATCATTTGCTGGAAAATTTTTATATCCTAATTTCCTGAGATGGGCTCTACATTGTGGCAGATGGCTTTTTGACCTCTTAACTGTACAGTCAAATTTTATCTGGCTTGTAAAAGCTCTATGACATTTAGCACAGACTGTATTATACATTCTATATGCAATAGAAAAAAGGTTCCCAAGGATATAAGCTATAAACAAAGCGCTTGTAGTAGTGTAATATAAAGGAGTAATAGTTGTTGCTATCATTTTTTAATTTTAATTGATATACTAATTATACATATTTATGGGATAAAATATGATGCTTCAATACATGTATAGATTGTGTAATGATCAAATGAAGGTAATTAGCATATCCATCACCTCAAACATTTATAATTTTTGCTGTGAGAACAGCAAAGAGATACATTCTGGTTGAACTTGCTACAGAATAGTAACAACTGATGTGCTTCTGCTAGTCTTTTTTTTTTTTTTTTTTTTGAGAGAGTCTCACTCTGTTGCCTAGGCTGGAGTGCAGTGGCACGATCTCAGCTCACTGCAACCTCTGCCTCCTGGGTTCAAGCAATTCTCCTGCCTCAGCCTCCTGAGTAGCTGGGATTACAGGTGCCAGCCACCATGCCTGGTTAATTTATATTTTTGTAGAGACAGGGTTTCATCAAGTTGGACAGGCTGGTCTTGAACTCCTGACCTCATGATCCACCTGCCTTGGCCTCCCAAAGTGCTGGGATTACAGGCGTGAGCCACTATGCCTGGCCAACTTCTGCTAGTCTTTTTGCAGTTTGCCTGCTATTTAGTTATCTATGATCTCCTCTACTTGCATAACTTACCATGAACTAACTTAAGAGCATTCTATGTCAACTAACCTTAGTAACTTTCCATTGTCTGATGCGTTAAATTTCCTTTCCAATCAATGTGATTGACTCAACATCACACGGTTCAGCAGTTACTAAAATGCACCAAAGAGTTACTACAAGACTGTAATTTAAACCCAGGCAGGCAATTTCAAAAAGCTGTACCTGGTAGCTTTTCTGCAAAGTGGTTGTAACCCAGATGTTCTATCTATGTGAAGGCAGCTCAACAATATTTCTATGAAAAAGGCATTAGCGAACAACCTGACACATTATCTCAAGAGATACACTATCATTCTACTGCTATACTGGGTACACTTTTGCATTGTCAATAGATCCCATGATTAAAAGAGAGAATTAATGACAGACATCTTGATTCATACTTTATTTCAATCATCTCACTTGATCCTTCAAACCCTATGGTATTATGCATTTTTTCATTGTAGAAATTAATGCTCAGAAATAAATAGCGCACTACAAAATGCCATAATTGGAACCCAAGCTTGCCAGCGTCTAAAGCCCATTCTTCCACCATGATACCATGGTGCTTTTTTCAAGCGATATGGCTTTTCCCTCTCCTCTAATGACTTTTTCATTCACCTCTCCACCTTGGCTTTATGGCATGCGCGCACTCACACACATACACACACACACACACACACACACACACACACACACAGCTTAGGTTAGCTCATCATTATTTCTTTAGTACCTGTTATTTGATTTTTTGCCAACCAGGCACCAGACTTAATTTTTTATATTGCATCTAGTTTGCTAAATAAGGGACATGTAGTAATAAAATAATATCCCAGAGGACATTTTCACATTTTACTTGCTGTTTCTCTTTCAAAATTTCCATCGTTAAAAGAGGCAAACAGCCATAGGCTCTGGATATAATAGCTTCAGCTGCAAATAAAAAAATTGTCTTTCTGGATGGAAGGTGTGAAAAGGACTATTATTGCATCAGTCTCTCAGCTACTCTCCCACAGAACATTGCGGTCTGTTCAAACGAATGAGGACAGTAGTGGATAAACCAGTCTTTTAAACTTGTGTAAGATTTTCCATACCTGGGTTTCAGATCATTTTAGAGGCAAGTATTAATTTATTCTTTTTTCTCCTAATTTTTCATATGGACAAATTTAGGCACAGAGGAGATAATGAACTTGGCAGAGAATCAGGAGCAAAACACTGATGGAAAATGATGCTGATTTAAATGTTTCCTGCTTGCATTTCTCATAATGAAAGCACAGCCATATTGTGACACTTGTTATTTTATGGTTCACTGAAGAGCCGCAATAACAAATTTTAAATACCTATCAAATGTCATAAAATGTCATTTAATATTGTTCTTGGTTTGTTAAAGGGAAAATGAAAACTGATAAAGTTCATGTATATTTTGTGCTAGTTCAATAAACTAAATACCATACTATGAGACTTTCAGCAAACATACAGTCAATTGTAATATGGTAATATTAAATAAGAGGGTACTACACTTTTTCAAGAGAAAGTGGTCTTATTAAAAAGGTTATTTTAATGATGCTCTAAACAATTTCTTTGGCTGCATCACAGCATAGGTTCAGTTCATAATAAAAGTTGCCTTTGAACGAAGTATTCTAAATTTTTACAAGACTCCAATTCTCCTGTGCAATTACGGAATTTGAAATGTAATTCTCCTGGAACCATAAAAGAATTAAGACCAGAGAACTGCTGTTAAGAATAAAGCAAGATAAAAAGGAATTGCTTCAAAGACCCTTTTTATTCTTCTATTTTTTAGTGCCACGTTATATTCCAAGTCACTATGTTGTTATGGAAAAGGACAATGAGAAAATCCACTCTAGACAATTGAACATTTCTAGAATGTTGACTCAGGGCTATTTTTCTCTTGATAATTATGTATTAATTCAATATGGACATCTGTATGTGAAATCCTCGAATTTCCAGAAGAATGGATGATATATCAATGCACAACTGTTTGGCATTGGTTTATTGTGGACTCAGCACTGTGTTAGGCACAATGGCTCAGGCAAATTGTTTGGGAACATGGCCCCTGCTCTAGATCTGCATGGCATTTGTTTATCATTTGAACTGAGATGTGGTTATTACAACTTAACTTCTATCTCTATTTCACATTCCATTAATCATCAAGTACTATAGATTCTATCACCTTCATAATCTCTCAAATCTGCCCATTTTACTACATGTGCAATACCACTGTTAATGATGATCACAATAAGCTCCTAACCATCCTCTTTGTCTTCAATCCTATCCACTTTAATTCATTCTGAACAACAGTTTGGAAATAAAATTGTGAGTGTATCACCCCTCCATTTTAAACTGTTTCAGAGTATTTTCATTTAACTCCTGCCACAGTTTAAGCCCATCAGCATAACCAGGCAAGGTCCTCCGTAAGCTGACCCTTCTTAAACTTCTAGCTTAGAATTTTTACTCCTTCTGCAAATATTTCATCCAAATTAAATATCATGTAGTTTCCTAAGAGAGATTCTTCTCTCTTCTTCTCCCAAGTCCTTTTTTATTTCCTCCTTTTAGAGCGTACTTCCTCTCACCTTTCACCTGACTCATGTTACCAGTCTGTTGAGACTTAGTTCAGAAATCACATCTTTCATTTTGTCTTTCCCCACCCTCTCCTCTCCTATGAATTAAGTCTTGCTTCTATGTAAACAATTAGCTTAGATATTTATAACTGATGCTGTACTTATATGGTTCTGTTGTCTTCCATGAACATGTGTTAGATCTTTGAAGACAAATATATGTTATTCATCTTATGAAATTTGTCCTACACAGAATTTGGCACATGGATATCCATTCAAATGTTTGTGGAATAAATATGAATAAACTCAAAATAAAGAGAACATATATTAATTTTGTCCTAATTTGCAAAATTCTCCATTTTATTTCCCTCACTGCAAACTATCCCCACTGACAGAATTGGTATCTGATTTCATAGTGTTGATTTCTAACATTTTTAAACAAAAAACTATGTTTCAATTATAAATCATGTATTTAGGTAAGAATCCTTGCTTCATCAACTATAAGAACATAAATTCTAAGACATTTTCTCTACTGAGATGTTAAAATGTAGGGAGAAATGTGTGTTTTATAATTAACGAAATAAAATTCCTTAAGGTCTTACCATATGCTTGGCCCCATGCTGTGTTTTATATTAATTAGTTCTCTTAATCTTCACCACAGTCCTATGAGGAGGGTATTTTTATTATTCTCATTCTAAAAGTTAATAAAATAAGTTCAAAAGAAAGGTAATTTTCCCAAAGTTACCCAGATTATAAGTGGCAATTGTAGGATTTATCTCTATCTTACTCTACTGTCTGAAACATTCTCGATATTCCTTTTTTGGGTTCAGTACTAAGAAAAAAATATAGAAAATAACATTACTGGTCCTCATTTTAGAATATTCTTTCCTTGGGTTCATCATACACACACGTGCACACATAAACACAAACATACACAGTAATTGTAAACGGTGTGGTAATTTCTTTAAATTTTGTTAAAATACCTCCCGAGAAAAATGGAGACAAGTAGGGGAGAGAATCTCAGAGCTTGAAGACTATCTTTCTGAAATAAAACAGGCAGGAAACAATAGAGATAAAAGAATAAAAAAGACTAAACAAAATCTCCAAGAAATATGGGATTATGTAAAGAGACAGAACCTACGACTGATTGGGGTACCTCAAAGAGATGGGGAGAATGGAATCAAGTTGGAAAACATACTTTAGGATATCATCCAGGAGAACTTCCCCAACCTAGCAAGACAGGCCAACATTTAACTTCAAGAAATTCAGAGAACTCCAGTAGGACACTCCATGAGAAAATCAATCCCAGGACACATAATGATCAGATTCTCCAAGGTTGAAATTAAAGAAAGAATGTTAAGGGCAGCCAGAGAGAAAGTCCAGGTCACCTACAAAGGGAAAGCCATAAGAATAACAGTGGACCTCTCAGTGGAAACCCTCCAAGCCAGAAGAGATTGGGGGCCAATATTCAACATTCTTGAAGAAAATAATTTCCAGCCTAGAGCTTCATATCTGGTCAAACTAAGCTTCATAAGTGAAAGAGAAATAAGATCCTTTACAAACAAGCAAATCCTGAGGGAATTTGTCACCCTCAGGCCTGCCTTGTAAGAGCTCCTGAAAGAAGCACTGAAAATTGAAAGAAAAAATTGTTACCAGCCACTACAAAAACACACTGAAATACACAGACCAGGGACACTGTGAAGCAACCACATGCACAATTCTGCAAAATGACCAGCTAGCATCATGATGACAGGATCAAATTCACACATAACAATACTAACTTTAAATGTAAATGGGCTTAATGCCTCAATTAAAAGACACAGAAAGGCAAGCTGGATAAAGGGCCAAGACCCATCACTATGCTGTCTTGAAAAGAGCCATCTGACGTGCAAATACACACATAGGCTCAAAATAAAGGGAAGGAGGAAAATTTACCAAGCAAATAGAAATCAAAGAAGGGGTTGCAATCCTAGTTTCTGACAAAACAGACTTTAAACCAAAAAGATCAGAAAAGACAAGGGCATTACATAATGGTGAAGGGTTCAATTAAGCAAAAAGAGCTAACTCTATTAATCTACATATGCACCCAATATAGAAGCACCCAGATTCATAAAGCAAAGAGTCACAAAGAGACTTAGACTCCCACACAATAATAGTGGAAGACTTTAATACCTCACTGACAGTATTAGACAGATCATTGAGACAGAATACTAACAAAGATATTCAGGACCTGAACTCAGCTCTGGATCAAGCAGACCTGATAGATACCTACAGAGCTCTCCAGCTCAAAACAACAGAGTATACATTCTTTTCATCACCACGTGGCACCTTAAAATTGATCATGTAATCAGAAGTAAAACACTCCTCAGCAAATGCAAAAGAATTAAAATCATAACAAACAGTCTCTTAGACGGCAGCACAACCAAATTAGAACTCAAGATTGAGAAATTCACTCAAAGCCACACCATTAAATGGAAATTGAACAACCTGCTCCTGAATGACTCCTGGAAAAATAACGAAATTAAGGCAGAAGTCAAGAAATTCTTTGAAACCAATGAGAACAAAGAGACAATGTACCAGAATCTCTGGGACACAACTACAGCAGTGTTAAGAGCGAAATTTATAGCACTAAATGCCCACATCAGAAAGTGGGAAAGATCTAAAACTGACATTCTAACATCACAATTAAAAGAGCTGGAAAGGCAAGAACAAATTCAAAAGCTAGCAGAAAAAAAGAACTAAGATCAGAGCAGAACTGAAGGAGATGCAGAAATAAAAACTCTCCAAAAAATCAATGAATCCAGGAGCTCGTGTTTTGAAAAAAATACACAATCAATAGACCACTAGCTAGACTAATAAAGAAGAAATGAGGGAAGAATCAAATAGACACACAAAAAAATGATTAACTCCACCGAAATACAAACTACCATCAGAGAATACTATAAACACCTCTATGCACATAAACTAGAAAATCTAGAAGAAATGAACAAATTCCTGGACACACACACCTTCCCAAGACTAATTCAGGAAGAAGTTGAATTCCAGAATAGACCAATAACAAGTTCTGAAATTGAGGCAGTAATTAATAGCCTACTGATCAAAAAAAGCCCAAGACCAGGTGGATTCTAGGACGCAAGGCTGGTTCAACATTTGCAAATCAATAAACACAATACATCACATAACCAAAACCAAAGACAAAAACCACATGATTATCTCAATAGATGCAGAAAAGGCCTTTGATAAAATTCAACGTCCCTTTATGTTAAAAACTCTCAAACTAGGTATTGGTGAAACACCTCAAAATAATAAGAGCTATTTATGACAAACCCATAGCCAATATATTGAATAGACAGAAATGGTAAGATGGACATAATACTATTGCACCCCTACTAGACTACAGTGTAGTATAAACATAAACTTTAGATGCACTGGGAAACCAAACACTTCCGTCTGACTTGCTTTATTGCAGTGGCCTGGAACTGAATCCACGATATCTGAGGTATACCACTATTTGAACTGAATAAAATTGGTAGCTTTCACTTTGTTTTTACTTCTTCAGCAATCATAACAAATTTTGGTGTATTTAAAGTACAGCAAGGTAATTATTATCTTCAAAGAGCCCCTAAATTAGTAGAGAAGAGAATACCTATAAAAATGTAAAAACAATGCTGGTAAATAATGACAAATGGCATAATAAGGGAATAGATCCAATGGTTAAGAATTGCACAAAAATAAAAATCACTCTATTTAGAATTGGAAAAAGCACCAGGAATGGTATCTTATTTTAACAAAATTTGTAAAATTCAAAAGGCTGACATAAGTGATGGGCTCTGGGTATATGAACAGGCTGAGCAAGAGTGGAGTGTAGAAATTTCCCAGAGAATTGAGAAATACTTTTATGACTTGTATGTCAGAAAGTACACAGCAAACATAGCACAATGTTAAGACTATAGATCTGGAGTGGTTTCTAGCCTCCACTCCTGGTTATTTCCTACTGATTAGCTGTGGGGCATTAATGAAGTCACTTAACATCCCTGAACTGGAGTTTTCTCATAGATGGAATGGGACTAGTGATACAACTGATTTACAACTATTGAGATAGAATTTTTTGTTAGTGGAAGAAAGAGATGGATAGATAAAAAGAATTTTTTGTTAGTGGAAGAAAGAGATGGATAGATAAAAAGATGAGATAAGTCTGGGGAAAGAAATCATGTCTTTTAGAGATGTACATTAGGGATTTAGAACTTCTTGCCATAGGGCATGTAAAATTTAACTTGGATTACATGAACTGGTTAATGCACATGATACAATTATTTAAATTAATTAAATTCAGAAAAATTAACTTTTGCTTACTAGATTACCTATGACAATGAACTTTCTGACATTGAAAACGCAAAGATAAGTAATAGCTACAATGTATTTTCAGGTCCCTATATAGTTGATATTTTATTAGATTCTACATGCTACTAGAACATTCAAATAGATACAGTTAAGATAGAGCAATGAGAATAAAACATTTCAAAATCTAATTTCCCTTAACATATTAATTTAATGTGATGTTAAAATATTTTATATAATCAATATCATATAACAAATTTTATAATAAAATATTCTTCATTATGACAAAACTATTTTTCCTTGACTGGATTTACAAATGGTTGAGAGCAGTTATTTGCCTTTGACTCTTGTGGAGACCACAATCTGCTGGTTTACATTATTTATTTGTTTAGAGACTCATTTCCCTAATTAACTGAACAGAGGCAAACTTCACAGGTTCCAGAAATTAATGATATTTTATTGGCCTAGTAGTCCAGATAAAAAGGGAATTTCTGACAGGATGATTTAGATAATTGTCTCAATTTGCTTCATAGCTTTCTACTTATTGATACATCATTAGAGTTTACCTTGTGTATTCTCACAGGCACAGGTAATCAGTTGAATATATCTATAGGTGATTCAGCCTGTGTTAAGTGCCTCCTCAGTAAAGTATGTGCACATGATTGCATTGTTGAAGGTACATTACCAATAAAGATACCATGAAATTGCAAATCAATTTATAGATTTGTTAAAAACACTCAAACTTTTTCTTAAGAAAAATAGCTTTTTCTGTGTTTTAATTTTTTTCTCAATGATAATGTCAGCGTTAAAAAGACACACTCAGGTGCCTCGATGCTTCCTCTCTGTAAGTTGTATCTTGGTAAGTATTCAGAACAAAAAATAAGCATACAAATTTCTTAAACTTTGTTTTGGTAAAAGCTAACACACAAATACACACACACTAGCCTAGGCCTACACTGGGTCAGGATCATCAACATCAGTCTTCCATCTCCACATCTCCTCCCACTGGAAGGTCTTCCGAAGCAATACCACACATGGAGCTGTCATCTCCCATGGTAACAATGCCTTCTTCTGAAACAGCTCCTGAAGGACCTGCCTCAGGCTATTTTAGTTAACTTTTTTGTTTGTAAGTAGAAGGAATGCATTCTAAAATAATGTCAAAAATCATAGTATACTAAACACATAAACCAGTAACATAGTTGTTCATTATCAACTTTTATGTACTATGTATACTTAAATGTGCTATACTTTTTTTTTTTTTTTTTTTGAGACAGAGTCTCGCTCTGTCGCCAAGTCTCGAGTGCAGTGGCGCGATCTCGGCTCACTGCAAGCTCCACCTTCCGGGTTCACCCCATTCTCCTGCCTCAGCCTCCCGAGTAGCTGGGACTACAGGGGCCTGCCACCACCCCTAGCTAATTTTTTCTATTTTTAGTAGAAACGGGGTTTCACCGTGTTAGCCAGGATGGTGTCGATCTCCTGACCTCGTGATCTGCCCGCCTTGGCCCCCCGAAGTGCTGGGATTACAGGTGTGAATCACCACGCCTGGCCTATATGCGCTATACTTTCATAGAACCAGGAGCTCAGTAGGTTTGTTTACGCCATCATCACTACAAACACGTGAGTATTGCGTTGTATTACAAGGTTAAGACGGCTATGCTGTCAGTAGACAATGAGGATTTTTCAGTTTCATTACAATTTTATAGAACTACCCTGATACATGCAGGCCATCACTGGTGAAACGTTGTTATGCAGTGCATGACTGTATTATATTGGAAGAAAGAGTGAGATAATATGCTGACACTCACACCGGGCTCATGCGCCAGTAGGAGGAGGTCGCCCTCCAGAGACTGCAGGAGAAGGGGGAGAACTCCTCCTTGCCCTGGCTGTTCCTCCACCACTTCCACCGAGGCCTGTGGTACAGCACCCGAAGCTTCCTAACCCACCCTAGGCCTGGCCGGGCAGGCCCCGCAGCGCTCCTACTCCCTCTTCCCGGCCCCTGGACTTGCGGCTGCTGCCACAACTAGCACAGATGTCACTATAACCATCGCTGCTGTTGCCCTCAATGCACTGGCCCACCCTACAAAGCTCCTACTACCTGGCCACCGCCGCAGCCCTGCCCCTGCCATGGCCGCAGCTGGCCGTCCTCCTACCGCTCTGGTGCGAGGTAGTCTCGGTAGCTGCCACCAACCGCAGCAAGGCGAGCAGCAGCCCCAGGCTATCTGCAAGCTTCCAGCATGTAACTCCTCCTCCTCCTGGCATGGAACAGCTGGACACACAAAGCCAAAAAAGCCTAGAGGAGAATGCAGAGACTGATAGCGTTAGAGCCTCACCTTGTCATCCTGGCCACTGGGTGGCAGGGGCCAGTCTCAGTGAAGGCACTCATATCCACCCTCCAAAGTCCAGCCTCTCCTTTTGGCTCAAGCGGGCCAGGAACTGGGACCTGGAGTGGTGACTGGTAACATCACACTGCCTGGCTCCAATCCACAGGAACCGCTGGGCCCACCAGGACTGCGCTCCTTGGGGAACAAAATCAGCAGGAACTCAGACACAGCCAGCCCTCCCACCCAAATGCCGGTTCCCCATCCTGATGCCTCCACCCACAGAGCCCTGTCTCCCCGTGGTGTCCCCGCCACTCCGTGTCCAGCGTGCCTAGGGGTGCCAGGTGGTCTCCGCAACACAGAGCGAAAAGGGCGTGGCCCCGGGAACCACGGCGGGTAAGGGGTCCTTGCCGTGCTCAGGATTACTGCGGAAACGCCGTGCGCTCGCTGCGCTCTAGCAGGAGCAGGAGGAGATCGCCTTTTAGAGTCTGAAATCCAGAAAGAGGAAGAAGGCTCCTTCCTTGGAGACCCTGTTGCTGCAAGCTCTGCCGCCACCAGCAAGGCAGCCCCTGATGGCGCCCCTAATCCGCTGCCTGATGTTGGCTCTGGGATAGCGCCCCCAACACCGCCCCTCGCCGCTGCAATGTAAAACCCAATAGCGCCCCCAACCCATCCCTGCCTCGGACGTCGCAGCACCAGATAACTCCCCCATCCTACCGTCTGCCGTCGGCCATGCAGCCACGGATAGGACCTCCAACTAACCCCCGGCTGTGGGCAGTGATGCCCCGGAGAGCACGGCCACCTGCTCCATGCCGTCAATAGTGCAGCCATGGATCCTTAAGGTCCCCAACCCCCTCCCCACGACGAGCAGTGCAGCCCTACATAGCAGATAGCACCCCCAACTATCCCCCACCCAGGGGGAATGATGCCCTGGATAGTGCACCCCACCCGCACCCCGCCATGGGCAGTGCAGCCTCCGACAGCACCCCTAACCTGTATACCGCTGCCAAAAATATGGTCCCCGATAGCACACCAAACCCAGCCCCCACCACAAACAGTGCAGCAGCTGATAGAGCACCTAACTCGCCCCACCGCCACTGACCACAGTGCAGCCCCCGAACGGTGCCCACAACCCACCCCACCACCCCGCCTGCCACCGGCCGGGTATCACCCCCAAACCGCCCCTTGCTGTGAGGAGTGTATCCCCTAGTAGCGCACCCAAACCTGCCCTCTATCATGGGCAGTCTGGCCCGATAGCGCCCGAAACCGCACCCTCCAAGCACCTACCCGCACCCACCGCTGCCCCGCCCCACCACCAGCAGTGTAGCACCTGATACTGCCTCTAACCTCTCCCCTGCCATGGACATTGCAGCCCCACATAGCGCCCCCAACAAGCCCCCACCATGGGCAGTGCAGCCCCAGATAGCATCCCCACCCCGCTGTCAGCAATGAAGCCCGACCAGTAAGCACCCCCACCAGTCCGCACCCTAACCAGCCCTCCCACCACCATGCCGCCGGCAGTGCAACCACAATAGCAGCCCCAACCCGGCCCCTGTCGCGGGCAGTGCAGCACCCAATAGCGCCCCCAACCAGCCCTACTGCTGCCATCAATACAGCCCAAGATAGTGACCCCAACCCGCCCCCCACCAACCCCCCCCCCACCCGCTGCTGAGGGCAGTGCAGCCCCGGATAGCACACCTAAAAGCAGTGACGCCCAAAATAACACTCTAGTACACCCAAAGTAGTGACACCCGGAATAATACCCCAACCAGCCCCCGCCGCGGGCAGCCCTGGATAGCTTACCTACCCCATTGCCTTTCTACACTCTGGCCAGCTGCAGTATCCGTCGCTGCCACCAACCACAGCGAGGCCAGCCAGGGAGGCGAGCCAGCGAGGCCAGCCGCAGTCCTGCAGGCTCTAGCCTACAGCCTATGGTAGGTGCCTTCTCCTTCTTTCCTTCCTGTAGCCAAGCACGGAGCAGCTGTCACTGCCAGCTGCCTCTCTCCATTGCCACCACACACCATTCAAGGCTCCAGGGCTCCAGGTTCCAGGCTCCAGCCTGCGGCAGCACACTCTGCTGCCGCTTTCTCCAAACTCTGCGGGAGAAGTAGAGGCTAACACACGATAGCCTGCAACAGCGCGACGCCCCCTTAGCATACCTTATATACTGGGGGTTGTGCAGGCCTGGTTCTCGGACTTCACGTTCTGATTGGATGAAAGAAACATCTACGCCTACTCTGATTGGACGTTATTTTCATGTTCTGATTGGATCAGAACAAGTCTTAGGCTAACCAATCAGAACGTGACAATAAAGTCCAATCAGAGTAGGCCTAGTGTTTTCCTCTCATCCACTCAGAACATGTAGTTTATAATCTCGGTATATAAAGCATGTTAAGAGATAGAGTTGCACTAGTCCAGCCTCGTCGGCGTCTGACTTCATAGCTGCTCCATTGCCAGCTTGGAGTAGGAGGTGCCAGCCACTGCATGCTGGAGGCTGCAGCCTACCGGGCTGTGGCTGGCCTCCCTGGCTCACCACCTCGCCGGCTTGCCTCGCCTTGCCTCGCTGGCTTGCCTTGCCCGCTGCGGTTGGTGGCAGCGATGGACACTGCAACCGGCCAGAGTGTAGAAAAGCATCGGGGTAAGTGGCTATCCAGGGCTGCACTGCCCTTGGCCTGGGACGGGTTGGGGGCCCTATCTCAGGCGTCACTGCCCACCTTGGGTGGCTGGTTAGGTGTGCTATCTGGGGCTGTGCTGCCTGCACCGGGGGGTGGTTTGGGGGCCCTAACCGGGGCTGCACTGCCCTCGGCGGGGAGCCTGTTGGGGAAACTATCCCAGACTGTATTGCTGGCAACAGTGAGGTGGGCTAAGTGTCCTATCCAGGGCTGCACTGCACGGCTGTTGCGGGGGGGTGGTGGTTTCAGGTTGAGGGTGCTATGGGGTGCTGCAATGCCCGTGGTTCGGGGAGGCGGGGCGGTTTGGGTGTGTTGGGTGCGCTATTGCGGGGGGGCTACACTGCTGGTGGCAGGGGGCAGGGTGGGTTGGGGGCCATATCAGGGGCTGCACTGATTGCTTTAGCTAGGGTTTCCAGTACTATGTTAAATAACAGTGGTGACAGTGGGCATCCTTATCATGTTCCAGATCTTAGAGGAAAAGCTTTCCATTTTTCCCCATTCCATATGATTCTAGCTGTGGGGGTCTCTCATGTGGTTTTTATTGTGTTGCAGTATGTTTCTTCTGTACCCGTTTTTTGAGGATTTGTAGCATGTTCCCCAAATTGAATATACCATTTTTTAAAAAGAGACTGAGTCTTGCTGTTATGTTGCCCAGGCTGGTCTCAAACTTCTGGACTTACGCGATCCTCTTCTGCCTCAGCCTTCAGATAGCTGCAGCTATAAGCATGCACCACCGCACCCAGCTTGAAGGTACTGTATTTTTAATTCCATATTGTCAAGCGTTTAAGTTACTTTTCTTTAAAAAATTAATATTAATTCAAAGGAAGAAATTGGCAGAGTGAAAAGACAACCTACAGAATGGGAGAAAATATTTGCAAAGTATGTATCCAGCAGAGGATTAATATCCAGAATATACAAGGAACTCTTGACATCTGAATAGCAAAAAAAAAAAAAAAAAGAATCCAACTGAAAAATGGGCAAATGACCTGAATAGATATTTCTTAAAAGATGACAGACACATAACCAACAAATATGTTTTCCTAAAAAGCTCAACATCACTAGTCATCAGGGAAATGCAAATCAAAACCACAATGAGGTGTCATCTCACCCCACTTAGAATGGCTACTATCAAAAAGACAAAAAATAGCAAATGCTGGCAAAGATGTGGAGAAAAGTGAACACTTAAATGTGGCTAGTGGAAATGTAAACTAGTACAGCCACTATGGAGAACAGTGTGGAGGTTCCTCAAAAAACTGCAAATAGAACTATTATATGGTCCAACAATATATTATTGGACATTTATCCAAAGAAAAGGAAATCAGTATATTGACGAGACATCGGCACCCCCGTGTTTATTGCAGCACTATTCACAATAGCCAAGATATGGAATCATCCTAAGTATCTAACAACAGATGAATGCATAAAGAAAATATGGTATACATACACAATGGAATACTATTTAGCCATAAGCAAGAATGAAATCCTATAGTTTGAGGCACATGGATTGAACTGGAGGACATCATATTAAGTGAAGTAAGCCAGGGACAGAACATTAAGTACTGTGTGTTCTCATTCATTTGTGGAAGCTAAAAAAATGTTGATCTCATAGAGGTAAAAAGTAGAACAGAATACTACAGGCTGGGAAGCATAGGGTGCAGGGATGGTAGAAAGCAATTTGTTAAAGGTTTCAAAATTACAGCTAGATAGGAAGAGCAAGTTCTAGTGTTGTATAGCACTGTAAGATGACTGTAATTAACAACAATATGTTACACAGTTTCAAAGAGTTAGGAGGAGGATGTTGAATGTTCCCAGCACAAAGAAATGATAAATGAGATTATGGATATGCTAATTACCTCGATTTGATCTCTGCAAATCTATGGGAATGTTACTATGTTATTCATAAATACTAATAAATACATCAAAAATTTTAAAATTAATAATGAACAAAAGATAAGGGGCCCTGAACTCTAGCTTTAGGGCTGAATTGTATCCAGTCAGATGGTTTATATGTTATTTAAACTTTCACTTTAAATTTGGAGTGGAAATATGTTTGGAAATCCTTACTTTTAGTATGTTGATTTGTGTGTGTGCGTGAGGTAAATCTGGTTGGCTATTGGCAAATGTACTGGGTAGCTACTTAATAAAACATTTCCTTCCAGTGTTTCAGCTTTCTGATTCTTAGAACATGTGTATATTTAACATAATATGCATTATCACTTTTGAAAGTAGTTATTCTAACACTTATTTGTGCTAAATTAGAATATGAATTTGGGAACTATTACTCTTTTCTATGGTCTGGAATAATTTAAGTAATAGAAATTATCTGATTAGATAGAAATTCATTGTAAAATCATCAAGTTTAGAAGCTCTTAAGATTTCCTTTGACTTTTGCTTATTAGTTTTAAAGAAAAAAATAAATTGACATAATGGAAATTTTCACTATACATCAGGAAGGGAATTCAGTGGAAAAGTAAGCTTCCTACTCCCTCTTGACCTTCAGTTTATACTTTTCTTCCTAAGTCAAGTACTGCTACTGGTTTCTTATGCTGTTTCTAGAACTAGCCTATCTATTGTCTATTTAAAATAACTCTTTAATCACCTTTTATTTGAGCTGCCTTATGGATCTATGTAGTTTTTCTGTCTCTCTTTAAAATTTTTTATGCGGTAGAATACACATAACATAAAATTTACCATCTTAGCCATTTTTAAGTACACAGTTTAGTAGCACTATCTTTCACATTGTTGTGCAACCAATCTCCAAAACCTTTTCATTGTGCAAAACAAATTCTGTGTCTATTCAACTGCTCTCCATTCTTTCCTACCTGCAACTCCTGCAACCATCCTTCTACTTTCTGTCTCTCTGAATTTCACTATGTCACATAAGTGGAATCATACAGTATTTGTCTTTTTGACATGGGCTTATTTTACTTAGCATAATGTCCTCCAGTTCCATTCATGTTGCCTTGAAAGGCAGGATTTCATTCTTTATGGCTGAAATAGTATTCATCTTGTTGTAGCATGTCAGGATTTCCTTCCTCTTGAAAGCTGAATGATATCGTATGTATATACCAACATTTTATTGATCTAAATGTATCTGCCAATGGATTTTTCGGTTGTTTCCACCTTTTGACTATTATAAATAATGCTACTGTGAACATGGGTGTACAAATAACTTCAAGGCCCTGCTTTCATTCTTCCGAATATACATCCAGAAGCGGAATTGCTGGATCATATGGTTATTCTATTTTTAATTTTTTGAAGAATTTCTATTATTTTTAAAGTCACTTTTCATGGTTTGTTCTTTCCTACAAAACATGTTTTTCAATTTTATCAGTGCAGAGTTGTATATAATATTTATATATTTTACTTGTACAATTAAAGGCTGTATTTTATTTCTATATTATCATATAATTACCTTCAGTATCTATGTTTGTAACTGTTTCCTCATTTCTTTTTTTCCTCGTTCACGTTTACTATTTTATTGGTCTTTAAAACCTAGGCTTTCTTTTTTTTTTTTTTTTTTTTTTTTTTTTTTTTTGAGACAGAGTCTTACTCTGTCGCCCAGGCTGGAGTGCAGTGGCGCAATCTCCACTCACTGCAAGTTCCGCCTCCCAGGTTCACACCATTCTCCTGACTCAGCCTCTCCTGAGTAACTGGGACTACAGGTGCCCGCCACCACGGCCGGCTAATTGTTTTTTTTATGTTTTTAGTAGAGACGGGGTTTCACCATGTTAGCCCAGGATGGTCTCGATCTCCCAACCTCATGATCCGCCCACCTCGGCCTCCCAAAGTGCTAGGATTACAGGCATGAGCCACCATGCCCGGCCTACTTCTTTTTTTGTCATTTCTAATTGACTGGTAAGTACATTATATCATTACTGCAGCAGATTTATGTTACAGTGTTTTACCTGTTTATGTTAGAATCAGTTTATGTTTCTGGAATCTGGAATAGGATAATACCTATTTGATTTGAAA
Organism: Homo sapiens; assembly: GCF_000001405.40. Classification (NCBI taxonomy): domain Eukaryota; kingdom Metazoa; phylum Chordata; class Mammalia; order Primates; family Hominidae; genus Homo; species Homo sapiens. The sequence continues at coordinate 21,946,915 of NC_000015.10, read as the reverse complement.
TTGGACAGAGAGTAGCTTTATGTTGGTCCAGATAATCTCATTTCTCATTTGGACAAGATATTTGAGGGTTTGAAAAATTCCTGTGATGATTAAAGGAGAAAACTCTTGTGAGTTATTGTATGCTGAGACACACACACACACACACACACACACACAGTTTATTGCATTGTTGGGTTTTATACATAAAATTACCCAAGTTGCAAATATATGTCTTACAACTTTGACTCTCAGGATAGTGCAGCAGGATGAAGTGCAACCGCCCCCGCCCCCCCTTCCCCGATTTGCCAACAAGGGCAGACCAAACTAGAAGTGTGGCGCTGTACATGTTTCTGTGGAACCCTGACAGTGAAGCTGTTCTGGTTGCCATGTCCTGTTTCCGCCACCTCTGTGAGGAAGCAGATACCTGGTGTGGGGTGGATGAAGTGTCAGTGCATCACCTCTTGCCCAACTGTAGCACATTCATGGAGTTTGCCTCTGTCAGCAATGTGATGTCAACAGGTAAATGTGAATAGTGGTTTTTTTACTCAACCTGCCTGAAGCACGTGACATCTAATTGTGAGAATGTATTTAAGGTTACTACTTTGTAAGTTTACAGGGGAAATTCAAGTAGCTTACTTGAAATCCTTTTCTGAACAAAGAAATGAAACAAAGATGAAAAGAAAAAGCATTTGAAATAGTCTCCCACTGAGTTTTTAATATGCTATACGTTTTAAAAATAACTGGCAGTATATGTTATTATCAGTTGTGATCATATAATTTACTCCACCTAAGTTGTAGATAGTGAAGTTTTATGCACATTGGCATATGTTTTGAGTAAATTATAGGTGGGAATAGCTATTTTGTGCTGTGGACATTGTAGAGTCTAAGATAAGTACCTTTCCTGTGAGGTTAGTGAAAGGAAGTTTTTGGCTTTATCATTTGAGGCATTTGCTCTGCTCCTCCTACTCTGCCTTTTGGGTAGGGCTTATGAGGTTCTCCATTGGCAGGCAGGGCTCTAAGTGCAGTGACTTGATTGGCTGTTGTATTTGCTTAGGAACAGCAGCACTTCAGAAAGAGTGATGGCACTGCGGAGGCGCACTTAGCATCCCACTGCAGGAAACACTGAGGTGTGCTCTTAGCAAGAGAAACACCCCTCCTAGGCGCCCACCCTCAATTTTGGAAACCTATTGTCACATATGTGTAATCAGGAATAGCTTTTGAAGTAAATCCAAGATATGTGCGTGTTAGAAGTGTAATATCTGAGTACTTATTATACATCAAGTTTGAAACTTGGCCATTGCTGATTGACGTTTAGCTCTAGACTTAAAGTTGCTTTCAAGTGATAATTGCCTTCATTTTAGGCTTGGGAAGATACACATGCAAAATGGGAACAAGCAACAAAACTAATCTTTAACTATCCAAAAGCCAAAATGGATGACAGCCAGGTAAGTCTGTAAAGTTGACTTTTGTCTATTAACTGATCTGCTAAATATATGTCCTTCTCTTTGGTAATCTCTCACGAGTCACTCAGTAAAGTAAGCATATAGTTGTCTGAAGACTGATATTTAGTTGTGGTTTATCTAGACCTGTACTTCGTAATATGGTAGCCACTAGCTACGTGTGACTATTTAAATTTTAACATAATGAAAATTAAATACAATTTAGTTCCTCAATCATATAGTAGCCACATTGCAAGTACCCAGTAGCCACATATGACAGTCTGGACAGCAGAGAGAGAAAATGTTTCCATCATCACAGAAATACTGGGCAGCACTGCTAGAGACTGTTGCAGAGACCTTTTCTTGCTCTTTATCCCTTCATCAGGGTGTTTCACAGAATTTTCAGAAGAGGAGCAACAGAGGTAGAGAAAAAAAACACGGAAACAATTCATTTTGCTATTTTGTTAAGTATTCTAATTAAGGAATGTCTTGGGCAAAAGATTGAACCCATAGATTAAATGAAATTTTAAAATGTGGACAGTTCATTCAACTATTACTATTGACTATATTATCTGTTACTCTGGAAATTGATGAGTTGGTGTTTGTGTGTAATTGATTTGTAATGTTCATATTCCTCTCATTATTAGGCGATTTATAAAAACTGGTTATTCCCCCATGTTTTTTTTCTGTCATACTTAATTACAATAAGAAAAATGTTATGTTTTTATGAAGCAAAATTGTGTACCTAATAGCTTTATTTGGAGGGGACATGTAGCTTTAGAATGAAAGCTTTTGGGGGGATAACTGTTTAATATACCATACAATTCACCCATTTAAAGTGTCCAATTCAGTGGCTGTTTTTAGTATATTCCCAGAGTTGTGCAACCATTACCACAGTCCGTTTTAGAACAATTTCATCAATTGAGGAAAAAAAACCCCTGTATCCTTTAGCTATTTCTGCCTCTAACACCCTACCCCACCTCCCCGCCACTTTCTTGTCTCTCTTCCCCCGGCTTCTCCAGCCCTAGGCAACCTTGAATCTACTTTCTGTCTCTGCAGATTTGTCTCTGCTGGATCTTTTCTGTAAATGGAATTTTAGAATATGTGGGCTTTTGTGATTAGCTTCTTTCACTTAGCATAACGTTTCCAAGGTTCATCCATGTGAAATCAAAGCTTTTTAAAAGAAATTTGATACTTGGGCGATTATATTAGTGTATGACAAAAATAAATCAGTGGCTCTTTAAAAATGTATATGGTAATTTTTGGGGTTGATTTTAATGTGTTTTTTACATTTTTTGTACTTTTGTCATGGAAGAAATGTTGGATAAAGAGTAATTTGTCAAGTCTCAACTAATTTAGGTTTAATTCATGCTTTGCCCAAAAATTTTGTGTTTAGGCTGCTGAAAGTTTCACATGACCATTGTTAGGAGTCGAATATCCCATCTGAGTGGAGGAGGACGCGCAGATTTGTCTGACACAGACTCCCTACAGGAATGGATCAACATGACTGGCTTCCTTTGTGCCCTTGGGGGAGTGTGCCTCCAGCAGAGAAGTAATTCTGGCCTGGCAACCTATAGCCCACCCATGGGTCCAGTCAGTGAATGTCAGGGTTCCATGATTTCAGTGATGTCCTCAGAGGGAAACGCAGGTACACCTGTCAGCAAATGTATGGATCAGCTGTTGTCCTTAATGGTGTGTAACCATGAGAAAGTGGGACTTCAAATACGGGCCAATGTTAAGGACCTGGTGGGTCTAGAATTGAGTCCTGCTCTTTATCTGATGCTATTTAACAAACTGAAGAATGCCATCAGCAAGTTTTTTGACTCCCAAGGACAGGTAAAGTGTGCTCTTTTTTATTTTTCACCTTGTTTGAAATAAGGAAGGCTTTTTCTTTCCAATTATTTAAATTAGGTGCTCACAGTTTTTAAAAATTGCCAAAAAATTGCAGAAAGAAGAGTCATCTCAATGTAGGGGTCAGCTTGCTTCTTAGGAACTCTGGTGTGTATGTGTGCCTGAGGGTATACCTGCCTTGTGTATGGGTATGAGTGTCTGCATGTATCTGTATGCTTGTTTGGCTGTGTGCCTGTGGGTGCACTTCTGTGTTTGTGTGTTTAGATCAGTCGGTTGCATCTCTCTAGAGGTCTGTCTTCTGGGCATTGATGGCAAATGATTAATATATTTGTTCTTTCTATAGTTTTTATTGATGGATACCAACACTCAATTTGTAGAGCAAACCATAGCTATAATGAAGAACTTGCTAGATAATCATACTGAAGGCAGCTCTGAACATCTAGGGCAAGCTAGCATTGAACCAATGATGTTATATCTGGTCAGGTAAGCGTTCTACTGAAATGTAGCAGAAACATACTTTAAGAGATCAGAAAAACCTCTTACACATTGATATTGGTAGTAATTGATAAAATAATTTGCCATTCTTTACTGCACACAAACTAGGGTGTGACAGTCAGGTAACCAGAAGGTGTGTATGTTCTCATAAAAATAAATATTGTTTTCAGACTTACATTTAGTTCATTTTATTTGATGACTAAAGTACTTTGAATGCTTTCTCTTTTGTCTATATCTGATAATTTTTTTATTGTCTCTGTGTCTGTATAGGTATGTTCGTATGCTTGGGAATATGGTCCATGCAATTCAAATAAAACGAAACTGTGTCAGTTGGTTGAAGTAACGATGGCAAGGAGAGATGACCTCTTATTTTGCCAAGAGATGAAATTTAGGTGAGTTCTCAAAAGAGCAATGTAGGGTCTTGTAAATCTTAATTTGTTGAATGAAGTACAGAAATAGAGTAGAAATCTGGTTATTGGTAGGAAGGAAGACATAAAAAGAGAGCAATTTACATGTTTGTGTTTCTCTACGTCTCTCCTCAAATTTCCGTAAGCTTTGTGCCTGTGGCAAGCCTCCCTTTTTCTAAAACTGTGCTGTACTTGAGCTAAGAATTTGATTCTGTTTCCAATTTGATACCATAAATAAGGGCCATGTTGGAGGTTAAATATCCACGTTGCTTGTTCCCTTCTGGCTTTTACATCTGTGACATCAGTATCTCTTCTATAAAATCGTCATGTCACCTGAGTTATCTGCCAAATTATTTGCACTGTAAGAAATCTTACACAATTAAAGGTGTGTGTGTGTGTGGCTTCAAAAAAATTGTTTGCTGTTTCTCTTTTCTCCGCCATTCTTTAGGAATAAGATTGTAGAATACCTGACAGTCTGGGTTATGGGAACATCAAACCAAGCAGCAGATGATGATGTAAAATGTATTACAAGGTAAAAAAGAGAATGACCTTCAAGTATTAGTGGGTTTTCCTGTAAGAATTATAATTACTTCCTTACAGCTTTATACTTGTATTTTATGTGTATTTAAATTTTTTAGATGTCAAACTTTTGTGGTTGAAATATGTAAAGATACTAATCTTTATTACTACTTTTTTTTGACTGATAGACTTTCTGTAAAAATAAATGTGCGAGAGCGGTATGTTTGGGAAGTTAGTGTTGTCAGTTTATGAAGAATAGTCTACCGTTATTGGGAAATAAGGTACATAAAGCCTCAGATTGCATTTATGTTATGATTAGATAGAAAAAGGTATTATTTGAGGAACTCATTGTGTTGGTCTTTCTAAAAAATAATTGATTTCCTGATTCAGGCACCAGAGACAGAAAAAAAAGGAAGTAATTAAGTGTAATTAAGTCTGCTTTAATGATAAATGCTTATTGACACATATCAGAAAGTGATTAAACACTATGGACTGTATAATAAGCCTTTACATATGTTTCTTTGACCAAACCTAGCTTTATAATATGGTCATCTCTCAGTATCTGTCAGGAATTGGTTCCAGGAACCACCCCCCAAACTCCTGCCCACATCTCACTTCCATGAACACTAAAATCCACAGACTGAAGTCCCTGATACAAAATGTCATAGTATTTGCATATAAACTATGCACATCCTCCCATATATTTTAAATTATCATTAGATTACTTATAATATCTAATAAATATAAATCTTATATAAACACAAGTTGTTATACCATATTGTTTAGGGAATAACGACAAAGAAAAATCTTTACATGTTGAGTACAGATGAAACCCTACTTTTTTTTCCCCCAAATAGTTTCAATCCATGGTTGGTTGAATCTGTGGATACAGAACTCGCTGAGACAGAGGGCCAATTATACATGCTTCTGATTGAAGATAGTCATTTTGCCAAGATTACTTTGTAGAAAGTTACTATTGTCTTCTCCTCATTTGAGATGATTTTGTATTCTAGGATCTGCATATTAATTCAAATTATTTGGGTTGTGCTAATAATTTGTTTAATGAAACAGGTAGTTCCTAAAGTTTATATCTGTTAATAAGAGGTTTATTTGAGAGGAAGTGAAATAACCTGAAAGATTTATGGTCTCTAATTTTTTTTTTTCAGAGATTTGGACCAGGCAAGCATGGAAGCAGTAGTTTCACTTCTAGCTGGTCTCCCTGTGCAGCCTGAGGAAGGAGATGGTGTGGAATTGATGGAAGCCAAAGGGGACACAGTTATTTCTTAAGTAAATTTCAGTCACCAAAAAACACAAAGCAAAAGCAAATAAAGCCCCCCGCCGCCACACACACACACACACACACACACACACACCCACACTCAAAGACAAAACAAAACAAAAACAAAAAAACAAAAAAGAAAACAAAGAAATGTTCCCCATGCAGGACTAGGATTAGGAAAATAACTGTGTTTTATGATTTTTAAAGAAAATAATATGATCCCTGAAATTTTGCTTGTAATAAAACCCAGATTGCTTCACTAAGTCATTTACAAAAGTGACATTGTGTAAGCTGTTTGGACCACTAATTTTATATACTAAACATTAAAAATGACACATTTACCAGGAAACATTGCATCTATTTGATGCTTATGTTATGAAAGGTATGCTAGGCTATATCAGGTATAATCATGCCCAACACAGCATGCTTCATAATGAGTCACCCTGGCTGATTATCCTGAGAGAGGAGAGAAGCAGTTAATCCAGGGCCAGTCACACCGTGCACATGTGATAGTTTTGGAATGTCTGGTTAGCTTTCTAGTTGATACGGCCTTTGCTATGTAAAGGTCAGTCTTTTTATTTCTCAGATACTTCACACTATTTATGAACCTTTTGAGTGACTGCAGTGAAGCTGAAGATGAAAGTGCACAAACAGGTGGCAGGAAACGTGGCATGTCTCGGAGGTTGGCATCACGGAGGCACTGTGCAGTCCTTGCAATGTCAAACTTACTCAGTGCCAGCATAGACGGTGGTCTCATGCACTCCATAGGTGAGATCAAATGAAAGTTTCATATAGAAATACACAGCCTAGAGAACTGGCTTGTAAGATAAGCAAAAATTACTTCAGTAAGGCCATGTTAGTAAATTTGCATCCATTTGTCCACATCAGGTTTAGGGTACTACAAGGATCTCCAGACAGCTACATTTATGGAAGTTCTGATGAAAATCCCTCAACAAGGCACAGAATTTGACACACTTCAGAAACGGTATTGGCTGATGGGTTTGAGCAATTGGTGGAACTGGTCACAGTGATGGGTGATCAAGGAGAGCTCCCTATAGTGATGGCTCTGGCCAGTGTGGTTCCTTGTTCTCAGTGGGTAAGTGCATAGAGTAAGTGGGGAAGAAAAGTGCCTGGTACATAGCAAATCCTTCAGAACATATTTGTTCAATAAATGTTTGTTGAATGAATTGATAAAATTTTAGAGCCAGAAGAAATCTTAGATGTTTAGTTAGGTGACTTTTCAGCTGTAGGGAAGTGGTTGGCACTGCTAGACCTGAATAGTGTCCTATATCATTTCATCCCACTGAAAAATTCCATTTAAACACTGATTAAAAATCACTGATCTACTCCGCTGTCTTCATATATTTGAGAAGGTAATTAAGTTAAACCTAATTTCAGTCAGTTGTCGCAACGCTGGAATTGGAATCCACGATTTGTGCCTGTTTACTACCTCCAGTTTGCTGTTCTTTTCCCCATAATATCTTACACAATTTTTAAAAATGTAAGCACTGTATTTGCATTTGATATTATGATATTGTTTGTTTTAAACACTGAAAACATCATATGGCTATTAGGTCTCTCTCTTAATTTAATGAAAAATTTTCCTCAAATCACATCATTCCTAATACATGTGAAAACGTTGAGAAGGGTGGTGGTTCCTTTCCAGTGTTAAAAGGCTATTTCCTTTTTAGTGTACCAAAAATGGTTTCACTTATAGTAAAGTATAACTAATAAGGTAATCTGTCATTGTAGATTTGTTTCTGCTTAAAGCTGTAGGATATTTGTTACACCTGTACTTAAAGTAAAATTCAAACTCCTTATCCTGTCCTACAAGGCTCCACCTGATTTGGGCCCTGCCTCATCTCTAACATCATCTTATGCCATTTTCCTTCTTGTTCACCAAAGCCACACCAGCTACCTTTCTGTCCCTCCTTGTTAGACTTGTTTCTGCCTTAAGCACCCTTGCTGCTGCTACCACCTGAAATGCTTCTCCTCTGGTATTTTATTTTGGTGAGAACGCCTAGCATGAGATCTACCCTCTAACATATTTTTAAGTGTAGAATACAGTATTGCTATCTGTAGGCAGAATGCTGCACCACAGATCTCTAGAACTTACCTTGTATAACTGAAATTTTATACTGATTGATTAGCAACAGCGCCAAATCATTGAAATCTTCCTAAAGCCTAAAATTACTTCACAAACGTTCAAATGTTTTGAAAATGACTATTGTGAATTATCTTATTAGGATCTACCTATGATTAGCACTGAAAATACTCAGTAATTTTTTAAATAAAGAATCAGTTAAATTCAAGTAGCTTTAATTTGTTGTTGAGTTTTATATTAAATGACTTTGAGAAGGAATTTTCTATTAGGCCAGATCTCACCTATCACATTATTGTAATCCTGGGACCAGGCAAGAATTAGAGAGCTATGGGCCATGATCCTGGCCGTTGTTGTTACTGCTTGAGGATTGAGGCATCTTTTTATGGCTACCCCTATTCTCTATAAATTTCTTCTTGTGATTAAACAGTGATTTACCAGTAGATCATTTTTCTTGAGTGTACCCCAAACTGCTTTACTACAGGGAGTTACAAGGATGTCATTTAGGTAATTGGAATTTCAGCCCTCATCCCTGTCCCCCTTGCTTTGTATGTAAATCTGGCTGATCTCTGGGTTCTGAACGCCCAGTTCCTTTTCTTCCTGATTTCTCAAAAATCCTATAGTCTTTCTGTTTTTGTCATGTCTCTACCTAGTCTATGTTCAGCATTCACTGAGTTCCCCTGACTGTATGAGAAGAGAGTAGAACTCTTCTGATCATCAGTCTTATTTCTGCTCTGTGCAAATGCTTGTACAAATCAAACTAAAGTATTTGCTGTCATCTTCTGTTTCTGTTCTCTTTCATTTTGTGATGTAATTTGAACTGAATCTTGGACATTTTGTCTCCTGGTAAAGCCTAGGCCTCTCTTAATAGCTTTCACCGGTTAATCCTTGGAATTAACAGCTATCGTAGACATCGTATATAGTCATCTATCATAAACAATATACGCAGATAAATCTCAGGAGAAATATTAATCAGTCACCTTTGCCTTAATTTAGCAAGTAGTTGTCAACTTTGGGTTTATGTTTTTGCCACTCTTCAGCTATCTACCTGAGAACAAAAATGCACTAACCTGATTTTGTTTTGTTCTCAGGATGAACTGGCTTGAGTTCTGGTTACTCTATTTGGTTCTTGGCATTTACTCTACCAACTGCTCTGGAACATGTTTTGTAAAGAAGTAGAATTGGCAGACTGACTCCATTCAGACTCTCCTCTGAGGCAACAGTTTGGCCAGTAAAATAATGACACTCTGTTTCAAGGTTTGTATCATTCATTTTGTGTGTGTGTGTGCTGAGGTATGTCAAGTAATGATTATGTACAGAATGTGCAGAGCTGATTGTCTTCTTTTAAGGTAAAATGTATGGAGCAGGCATAATGAAGTCCTACTCATGCATTTCTATAGGTATATGGTGCTACCTATCTATAAAAACTCCTGGATGCTTTATTACGAATTGAGATCACATCCTCTGATGGGCAACATGTTAGCTTTGAAGTGGATCCTACCAGTTTTATCATCTTTTCACATAAAAGTGCTCTTTTTTTTTTTTTGCTAACACTGCATGAAGCAAGGCCCTCATAACTTCTCCTCTTGATCATTAAAATTTGTTTTTAATTATAAAAGTTATATACAAATATGCTTTTCTTTAATGATATCTGTAATTTTTTTTAAGTTATCCTTCTTTTTATCTGCCTTAGATCCAGGGACAGACAGGAGAAGGATGTCTTTGACTTCTACCTCCACAGACCGTTACTAGTTAAGCCTCTTTCCTTTTTCCATGACTTTACATATCACTTTACACAGTCACTTGCATGCTCTGTCACCCAGACTGGAGTGCAGTGGCACGATGGCTCACCGCAACCTCCACCTCCTGGGTTCAAGCGATTCTCGTGCCTCAGCCTCCCAAGTAGCTGAGATTACAGGCGTGCACCACCACGTCCAGCTAATTTTTCTATTTTTAGTAGAGATGGAGTTTCACCATGTTTGCCAGGCTGGTCTGGAACTCCTAACCTCAATTGATCCACCAGCCTCAGTCTCCCAGAATGCTGGGATTACAGGCATGAGCCACCATGCCCAACCAGAGAATTGTCTGTTTTGAGATTAAAATTTGGGAGTTTTAAGAGAACCACTCAGTAGCAGTGATGGTCTATGAATATTCTAAAATTATGTGAAGAAATTTGTGTGAAAGCATACATCCATTTTTCTAACCTTTATCAGATTTCAAAGAGGTTCCTCATCCCCAGAAGGTTGAACACTATACTGGAATAGTCGAAGCACTCAAATTTTTTCTTAATTCTTTATCTTTTTATAGTTTTAGCTAAAACTTCTATATCTAATTTTAAATTTATATATTTCAGCTAAAAATAAATGGTATTTAGGTTTTAAAGCCATTCTAATAAAGCAGCTATATTTAGCCACCTTCACCAGTTTCCCCTTATTGAAGGGTTAAGGTTGTTCTTCATGCAATAAACACTGTAACATAAAGAAAGCTTCCTGAACTGTGTGTAGTGTAACTGAAGGTGGGACTATATTGTTACACCTCACCGCTTACAAATACTTTATTCTCTAAAATCTAATTTTTACTAACTTCCTATTAGAGATTACAGAAAGCTATTTTGAGATTATAAGCAGTGATAAGAATGCATTTAAAATGTGGACTTCATGAAGCACTGCGTTGAACAGGATGAAGTGAAATAATCCCGATTCCAGAGTTAATCTGGAGTCAGCCATGTGAATTTAGGACAGGAAATATTAATTTATTGAGGCATTGTGCAAAAAATAGTTACGTGATATTCTGCATGTAAATCTGGGTCCCCCACACCAATATCCTTTGAAAGGAAGGTTTATCCTCGGAATCACAAAACATTGAGTGGAATGCTACAGTTTTGTAATCACTGCTACTTTAAACAGCAGTTAGCCACACTAAGCAAGAATAGCTGTAGAGATTAAAATGTTACATTAAGTGTTCTTTAAAAATGAATATATATGGTATATATAAAAATGTAAATTCCAAAATAATATAATTTTCATCTATAACATGATTTAAAGCAGGGGACACTGGGAAGGGATGGGGGCTGAACCCATTTTATGGCACTCTTCCCAGTCTAAGGTACCTTTTACTTTATCTTAATGTAGAATGTTTTATAAAGAGAAAATCAATCCACTTTAAATATTGGGTTCACATTACTTTTCAGGCTGGACAACCATTTCTTGAATTCTTAAATTATTTTTATTTGACAGAATTATACATTGAGGTAGACATAGGGGTTCGCTGTTCTGCTGAGATCCTTTTTTCTTTTAGGTGCCCAAGAATTCCCATCCCTCCATGGTTCAAATAATAGGTAGGTTGTTATAAAGGAAGCTGGCAACAGGCAATAACATTACTTGTAAGTAAGTTTTTTTTTCCTCAATAGGAATCTAAGATTTTGTTTTTTTATAGCAAGCATTTTTTTCTTCAATTCAGTTGTAACTGGTACACAACAAAACATAAATATGTACTATCAGGTATAGGATGTTTTGGGGGTGTGTTGTTGAAAATTTAGTTTCACCTTATAATGTTGACCACACTTTCATGTCTGTTAATCTTAATAAATTATGATCATCTTTGTGTGAAAATTTGGTCTGTTTTCATGACTCCTCAAACTTGCAGTATAGGTGATGATACAGTGAAGATCTGTTTTCAGGTTTCTTCTACCCATCTCATCCATGAGGTTTTTCTTTCCTCTGAGATACCTAAATTGTACTTTAATATGATACAAGACTAGAATTGAGAGGAAACTTTATTTTCTCATGTTTTGGGAGAAGAAAAAATAGAAATGTGTCATTCATGAGGACTGATTGACTCAGAGTTGTTGTGCAAATTTTGACCTTTGAACTCTTTGTTCCCATGCCCCTATTTTAATTCAAACCTTATACTCAAGTCTCAACTTGTTTTTAGGGGGTTAGCCAACGTTTCCCTCAGAACAGTATCAGTGCAGCAGGAAGTGCCATGTTCCTCAGATTTATGAATCCTGACATTGTCTCACTGTATGAAGCAGGGATTTTAGATAAAAAGCCACCACCTAGAATCGGAAGGGGCTTGAAGTTAATGTCAAAGGTGAATTATTTTGATAATCTAGCTATCTTAAATTCCCCTTCCAACTAAATTTTCAGCTTTTCTTACAGTACTTCCTCTTACATTTATATTGGAAATACCCTACGGTTTTCAGTTATGTGTTTTTATTTTGTTTATATTACAAAGGAATTCATTAGTTAGGTACCTGATGGACCTTATTTTCATGAGAATACGTTTTATTATAGCAGATGTCTTGTGTCATGAGGATCATTTTTTGCGTAATCATTCTAGACATTCTGAAACAGACTACAATGAAGGCTGTAGGATTTTTTATTTTAAGACATTAAACATTTTTAATATGTATTTGTACATGTAAATATAATTATAATTAGGAAGAATAGAAACACTACCTAAAATATAGAATGAGAAATGATTGATTTTAACTACTAGCAGAAATTATATCGAGAAAATTCATATTTTTAAAGAATATATTAATGTATAAACTTCATACAATAAGTAATCTGATTATTTATAACCCTGTTTTATTGTGTAAATACTTCAGAGTATTGCCAATCATGTTCTCTTCACAAAAGAAGAGCATATGCGGCCTTTCAATGATTTTGTGAAAAGCAGCTTTGATGCAGCTTGAAGGTAAGCTACTTGCCACTTATTCACTTGCTCTGTTTGAATCAAATATTTTCAGTTTCACATAAATCCATGTACCTGTTTTACATGAAGTTCCGTGTAGGTTTTTTTCTCTTCCTGCTCTAGGTCAAGACATAGCTTGCCTTATTTTATTTTACTATAAAAGACAGTCTTGAAATAAATTAATATTTTTTATAATTTGGTAGTGATTTTCATATTTGAAAACCAAGAGGCATTTTGGACATGTCTAGTTAAATAAAGGATTTGAGGATGGTACAATATGGGGATAAGGAAGAAATAGGATTCCTTTTATTTAAAACTAAAACCAAATTGGTATTGATAATGCATAAGAATGTTTAATAAGGTTTTTATTGGTATCAGAATATTTGTGATACTTAAATTTGGAAGTGTATCTAAACTAAAATGTTATTCTTTAAACCAAGTAATGCAAACACGTAAGATTTTGTACATGAGTAACTGAACTTTATGATTTTAGAAAACTTTTCTGCTGGATTTCCATAACCAGTTATTTCACTTTATTTCTCTGAGTTATTGGTTTATCTGTAAAGTGGGGATAAACTCTTTGCCTGAGTTGTTTTTAGAGAGAAAAAATGAGATAATTCATAAGAAAGTGCTTTGTAAATTTATGTCTGGAATTCTGCTTTTCATGCAGTGTGAATCTAATTGATCCTTATCATCTAAGCTAGCCTTGTACAACTCTCTCTTCCAGTTTATCATCATTGTAATTGTTACTGACTTTTATTCTTTTAGGAAAATTGGAGTTTAAAAGGTATATTGCTGAATGACAAGCCATGTTGGAAAGAGAGTGAATGTCAGCACAGGATTCATATTCTGGCAGACTGAGGGCCCAAAGAAAGTTAAAAGGAACAAAGTTTTAATACTGGCTTTGACCTAACAGGCTATATATCTTTGGGGAGGTCTTTTGTCTGGACCTTCATTTCCTTATCTGTAAAATACCAGCCTCTTTCCAAAGTTTCATCCATCTCAATTTTGCTGTTCTTTAACTACAGAAGCTGAAGCCAGGTATCAGAAATGGAAAGCCAACTTTCTCCTTGTCCTTTTTACTTTGTCTAATGACAAATCACATTGTGGGAACAAGCCCTCCATATTTGTAATTGTCATCTCAGTTGCTTCACAAAGTTACTTCGTATAAATTTAATTCAAACATAAGTATGGTGTGTCTCTGGTGTTGAAAATTCTAGTGACTTTGCATTTTCTAATGTTTTTTCTTGATATGGCATCTGATTGTCCTACAAGTGATGCAGTAAATCATAGCCTTTCCTTCAGCAGTGACGGCAATGTGCTCGCTTTACATCATCTACTCCGGAACAATCAGGAGAAAATTGGCCAGTGTCTTTCTAGCAACAGGTAAGATTTCCCAGTCATGAGGATAGTGAACATTCTCCATTTTAATTTAGATCAATAAAATTATTGGTCATGAATAGTGCTTTTTAAAAACTTTGCATCTTCTTGGACTAAGAATTATGGTTTAGAAAGAGAAAGTCTTTTTTTTTTTTTTTTCAAAAAAATACAAACAAAAGGTTAAGTCATGTTAAATAATCAACAGACCTATGTAGGTTCCAGTGGTGGTTATTATTATTATTTTCTCAAGTTAAGAAATCACAGATTAGCTCTTTGGGTTTGTATGGCTTGCAAACTGTCATAGACCCAAAGAAGTTCAAATTAGTGTTGGCATTTGAATCTGAAGAACAGCTAATTCATAGGAATTCAGTAATTAAAATATTGTCAGTGTTTCAATTCTATGATAAACTCATTTGTGATACTCTAAGTATATGCAAATAAAGCTTTATATAGAAAATACTGGCCTGGCACTGTGGCTGATGCCTGTAATCTCAGCACTTTGGGTGGCCGAGGTGGGTGGATCACCTGAGGTCAGGAGTTCGAGATCAGCCTAGCCAACATGGTGAAACCCCATCTCTACTAAAAATTCAAAAATTAGCTGTGCATGGTGTCAGGCGCCTGTAATCCCGGCTACTTGGGAGGCTGAGGCAGGAGAATTACTTGAACCTGGGAGGCGGAGGTTGCAGTGAGCCGAGGTTGTGCCATTGCACTCCAGCCTGGGCCATAAGAGCAAAACTCCATCTCAGGGAAAAAAAAAAAAAAAGAAAAAATACTTAAAAATTGAAATTATTAATTTGGGCATTGTTTCATTAGCTCTTATTAGTCTCTTGTGTTAACATAAATTACTTGCTGTCCCATCTAGTTATATAAACTTGTAAAGGGACAAAATTCCTAAGTATGAGGAGTTCCTTACAAAGGAAATTGAGTCCAAATTATTTTTAAATGCCAATAAAAGTGGTTAGCACATTCACAGGAAAAGTAGTGGACTATGAAGCTAAGGGTAAGCAATTGGGAGATGGGAGTTTAAACCACAGAGCATTTTAATCTTTTATGCATTATTAATGGATTGAAGTAGACATGGGCCTGAGGTCTTTTGGGTGCTGTTTACAAATCAACAGGGACCACCAGCTGACAGTTAAAGGAAAAGCAACAGTTACAAGTTAAAGAAATGTGTACTGCTAAATGTGAACTGCTACTTTTTTCTAAGTAGTTTGCTATATCTAGGGATCATAAAGCTGTTGGAAGATGACCTTTTGATAAATGGCAACACTTCTTGTATACCTCGGTCCTCCAGAGCACAAACCTGTGGCAGATACATACCGGTCCAGCCTTAACCTTACCAGTTAAAAGTTTGAGGAATTTATGATGAGGTAAAGTACAACCTTGAAATGTAGATTGCTTTCTTTTTGGTTGAGAAGCAGAGTTTACCACTAGGCCACTTGTTAGATATGATAGAAGACTATGAGGAAAGATGCATCTAATAATCACATTGCCATGTTTGGGGACCCAACTTTTCTCCTATTCTATATATTATTTATTTATATATATATATATATATATATATATATATATATATATAGAAAGAATATGTTTTATATGTTGATTGCCATAATAGTAGTAACAAATCATATTTTATCATCTCGCTTTCATAAGTTTTCACATTTAATACCTACCAGGGAATGAAGAAAACATTATTTTCAGATGATAGTTAAGGAAAATGCAACTCAGTGTGAATAACTGGCTTGTGTGAGATCCCACACCTGATTCATAGGTCTTTTGGTTTTAAGTGCAGAACTTTTCTACTACACTATAACACTTTTCAGAACCCTCATAAAGATGAATGGTTTTAACTTCTTTTAGATTAAGGCTCAGAAAATATAGTCTACTTCAGTATTGCTATAAAATTTCTGTGGACATTTGTTTTGAATCCCATTTCATGGCATTTAGCTTGTGAACAAAAAGATCTTCATGGTTAGACACTGACTCTATGATGATACAGTGAGAGTAGTTTGCTGAATCTTTTAAAGTACATTTCACAGTAACTTATGCTTAGTAAGGTCTCCATAGTGTCTGTGAGTTGAATGTTGTGTTCACAGTATCTGCCAAAACAGAAAGAAAAAAACAAAATCTGATGATGAGAAGTTAAAGCTTTGTATATCATATGCCTTGAATTGTAAGTGCCTGTTGTTAGTTGTATTACATATAGGTCATGGTTTTGTACACATAACCCCAAACCATTGATACTGTTAAAAGAATATATGAATATATGAAAGAATGTATAAACATAAGAATGTATGGGTATATAATGTACTTTCCAAATTAATTTTTATTTTTAGCTTTGTTAGATTTTTCTTAGTGTAACAAACGTTTATTCCTATGTAATTAAGGGCATATTTTCTGTACAGAATATTCATATTACCTAATTGAAAATTATATAATACAAAAATATAATACTATTTTTAGGCCAGGCATGGTGGGTCATACCTGTAATCCCAACATTTTGAGAGGCCAAGGTTGGAGAATCACTTGAGACCAGGAGTTCAAGACCAGCCTGGGCAACATGGTGAGACCTTGTCTTAAATAAATAAATAAATAGGTTGGGCACTGTGGCTCATGTCTGTAATCCCAGCATTTTGGGATGCCAAGGCAGGAGGATTGCTTGAGCCAGGAGTTTGAGACCAGCCTGGGCAACATAGCAAGACTCCATCTCTACAAATAATAAGATATTAACCAGGTGTGGTGGTGCGTACCTGTGGTCCCAGCTACCTGGGAGGCTGAGGTGGGAGGTTTGCTCAAGGCTGAAGTGAACTGTGAATGCACCACTGCATTCCAGCCTAGGCTACAGAATGAGACTTGTCTATAAATAAAGAAATAAGTAAAAATATAAATTAAAAGAAGTAAAAAAAATAAGTAAATAGAAATACATATAAAGATGAGTACATCAAAACAAACAATTTTTAAATTTAACATCACTGAGGGCATCCTGGCCATTTTTCTATTTTTCTAGGAAAATGTTTTTATTACTCCTTTTTTTCTAAGATCCTACCTTTCCTTACAAAGCAGTCTTTTGTGCTTTTGAAGATTATGTGATCTAATATATATAGTATACTTAGGACAGTATCTGGTACTTGTAAAGTGTTTAATAAATGTTAGATCTTATTTTTGTTCTAAATTCCCACTGATGCTTTTGGAGACCCATTTTCTGTTTTAAAAAAATGAAGGTAGCTTTATAATAGCCTCAGTTTTTTTTTTTTTTTTTTTTTTTTTTTTTTGAGACAGAATCTCGCTCTGCTGCCCAGACTGGAGTGCAGTGGCATGATCTCGGCTCACTGCAAGCTCTGCCTCCTGGGTTCACGCCATTCTCCTGCCTCAGCCTCCCAAGTAGCTGGGACTACAGGCGCTCGCCAGCACGCCTGGCTAATTTTTTGTATTTTTTGTAGAGACAGGGTTTCACCGTTTTAGCCAGGATGGCCTCGATCTCCTGACCTCAGGTGATCCACCGGCCTCAGCCTCCCAAAGTGCTGGGATTACAGGCACGAGCCACCATGCCCAGCCAATATTCTGTTATTTAAAAAAAATTATTGGATTACTCAATATAGAAATCTAAAGAAAGTAAAAAAAAAATTAAAAATTGTTTATCCTCCTGCTCAGAAATAATTCAGTTAACATATGGTGTATAGTCTCCCAGTCATTTATCTATGCACATGTATATGTTTTTCTCCTATCAAATGATATCTAGGTTGTTTCCATTAATATTTTTAAAATGCTGACCTGGTACCAGCAGCATGATGGGCTGAGTTAATATAGTCTCCTTCCCAAATCACAATACTCATAGATACACTAAGTGTAAAAGAAAACATGTATACTTAAAAAAAATTAGGAAGAGTGCAGTAGCTTACGCCTATAATCCCAGCACTTTGGGAGGCTGAGGCAGGTGGATCACATGAGGTTTGGAGTTTGAGAGAAGCCTGGCCAACATGGCGAAACCCCATCTCTACTAAAAAAAAAATAAAAATAAAAATTAGCCAAGCATGTGACGGGTGCTTGTAATCCCAGCTACTTGGGAGGCTGAGGCAGGAGAATCATTTGAACCTGGGAGGCAGAGGTTGCAGTGAGCTGAGATCGTGCCACTGCACTCCAGCCT
This sequence comes from Homo sapiens, assembly GCF_000001405.40. Taxonomy (NCBI): domain Eukaryota; kingdom Metazoa; phylum Chordata; class Mammalia; order Primates; family Hominidae; genus Homo; species Homo sapiens. Next base: position 21,928,623 of record NC_000015.10, on the reverse strand, counting down.
GGGCGACAAGAGCAAAATTCCATCTGTTAATTAATTAATTAATTAAGTTTATAGCTGAAGGTAGTTTCTAAGCAAATTACCTAGCATACAGTCATTACAGACAAAGAAATGGAAAATATGAAAGAGATTAAGAGATGCAGAAGATAGAATGAGAAGTTCCAAAATATGTCTAGTAGGTGTTCCCTAGAAATTGAGCTCAGTGAGAATGGGAAGAAGTAATATTTGAAAAGGTAAAGGATGAATGTTTTCTAGAGTTGATGAATGACATTAATCTTGAAGTTAAAGAAGCACACTGAGTCTTGAGCAGACTATATAAAAAGTAAACCAGGCTTTAATACATATGGGAACATAATATATGATAAAAGTGGTATTTGAAATCAAGATTAGGATGGACTTTCAATAAATGGTGTTGATAAAACTGAGTAATGATCTGAAAAAATATTTTCATACCATTTATGAGGATAGACTCCCATAAATCAGAAAGAAAAAAAAACATGGGCAAAGCAAGGCCTTTTTCATCCATTCAAAATCCATAAACTAGAAAGGAAAAGGTTAATAAAATGAATTCGTTAAAAAATCATAAACTTCTGTCTGACACAAAGAAGTCATGAGTAAAAACAATCCTATGGTTAATATCCTCATCCAGTAGTTCTCTTAGAATAGTCCTAAAAGTGCTTTTGTGGTTCAAAGAATAATATCTTGAGATTTTTTGTGCATGTTGTCAAATTACCCTTTAGAATGCCTGTTGCTTTTAAAATAATTTTTCATTTTAGCATTTTATTGTTTATCCAATTATGGACTGTTTTACATACTCAGTAGACAACACAAAGCCTCACAGTTACCCTGTTCTTTTTCTTTTAGGCATCAGGTATGTGAAAAAGAAGAGATCAAGGCTTTGAAAACATTAAGTATTTTTTACCAAGCTGGGAATTCCAAAGCTGGGAAGCCAATTTTTTATGTTGCAAGGAGGTACGAAATACTATGTTTTGGTGTCTCTTAACAGAATTTTTTAAATGATAGTAAATATAGAGAGATGGCAAGTTTGGTTTTTCCCGTTTGACTTAACAGGAATTGAAGACAAGTTTACCTGGGAGCATATAGTGGGGTAAATAGCCTGCCTTTCCTAAAATGATGGTCAATATCTAATAACTGCTTTTCAGACTACCCATTTCATATTGGTTTCCCTGTCCTACATCATTTTTTTAAGACTGCCTAAAATGGATTAATTACCAAGAGTTAAAAAACCACAAAGAATCTTTTGTTTTCAAGTATATTCTGATTAAGTAGTACTCAACAACATGATAACCGGGAACTTTTTTCAATTTTATTTTATTTTATGATTTTATTTTTGAGATGAAGTCTCGCTCTTGTCCCCCAGCCTGGAGTGCAATGGCATGATCTTGGCTCACTGCAACCTCCACCTCCCGGGTTCCAGCAATTCTCCTGCCTCAGCCTCCTGAGCCCTCCCCTGCCAAATCCTTCCCAGCTTCTGGTAATCATCAGTTTATTCTCTGTCTTCATAAGATCCACTTTTTCAGCTCTCACATATGACTAAGAACATGTAATATTTTTCTTTCTGTGCCTGGATTATTTCACTTAACACAATGATCCCCAGTTACGCCTTGTAGCTGCAAATGACAGGATCCCATTCTTTTTTATGGCTGAATAGTATTCCATTGTGTATACATACCACATTTCTTTATGCATTCATCTGTTATGGGCACTTAGGTTGACTCCATATATTGGCTGTTGTGAATAGGGCTGAGATAAACATGGGAGTGCAGATATCTTTTTGATATATTGTTTTTTGTTTCTTTTGGATGTATACCCATCAGTGGGATTGTGGGCATATAGTAACTCTAGTTTTAGTTTTCTGAGGATCCTCCATGCTGATCCCCATCATGGCTCCTTTATGGAGAGTGTGTGAGGGTTCTCCTTTCTCAGTATGTTCACTGGCCTGCTGCCTTAGACATTAAATCAGGTGCTACTGCGGTATTCCGAGTTGTAATTAGTTTTTTATTTTGACATCTATAAACCTTCAGGCAGCCAGACAGCTTGATAAAGTTAAGCCAAATACAGTTTTTCTAGGAGTGGTGAATTAATGGGAGAAGTGGCCAGATCATCCTTGTGTGTAGGTGTGAGCATGTCTGAGTGTGGCGAGGGAAGGTGGTTGGGTAGAGAGTGCTGTGAGGGAGTGAGGTGGGAATCCCCCTAGCTAGGATTGAGTCATTTTTTTCTTCTTCCATGCAAAATGCATATTCCCCATTGTGGATTTCTGAGTGTGTGAGTGATGAAGAAATAGGGCATGTGCCTTGACCCAGTTGCAGCTATTGCCTCCATGTGCCTGAGGTGCCTTCCTCATACTCTAGCATGTTACTGGGCAGACAGTCAGTATTAGCACATGCTGCTGGTCCTTGTGAGCACAGCACGAAGACGAGAAATGGCTGGCAGAATTTTGGCTTGAGGGCCAATAGATGTAATAAATGTAATACAGTTAGTTTTAGAACATAATTCCATAATTTGATTCGGGTCAAATAAATCATTTTAACCAAAATTTCTATTGTGGAAGAAAATCTTTCAAGAATTATGAAATTTGTGTCTCAGAATTGGCTCATTTAAGAAAAATAATACTGTTCAAATGTGCGAAGGCTGTCAAAGGGTTTGTTGTATAGCTTTGCATTGGCTGAGTTTTCAATGTTTAGACATTTGAGTATAAGAAAACTGCTACACTAAAAGTAATAGACATAAAAATAAAAAATAAACAGCTGTGTAATGTTATCAGGCTAGCTAGATGTTATGCATCTGTGATTCTGAGGCTTCTTTGCAGCATTTGGTTCATGGAGGTTCTGGTAAGACCAGCTTGTGAGCGTTGATGTTTCAGAGCAGGTTATTTTCTATGGTGTGAAAGATGCAGTCATTGCCAAGAGTCACAAAAAGTGAGGCTGGGAAGAGGATACACTGAATAAAGTTTTAAGGAAGTTTAAGAAAGCACACACCACATTGCCATTTGCTTTCTTAAAGTTTCAAGGAAAATTTCTAAAAAATATGTTCGTATGGTTTGTAAGGTTCACATGAGATAAGGAAGTAAATAGAGCACTTAGCATAGGAATTGGAAAAAAAATACTTTCAGACATAGAAGACATACAGTTAACAGATTTCAGAGTCAAGCACTGGTTAGATAAAGTCAAATGCTCTCTTTAGATGTGTACTGCAAGGCATTAGCCAGGTGCAGTGGCTCATGCCTGTAATCTCAGCACTTTGGGAGTCCAAGGTGGGTGGGTCACCTGAGGTCAGGAGTTTGAGACCAGCCTGGCAAACATGGTGAAACCCCGTCTGGACTAAAAATACAGAAAATTAGCTGGGCGTGGTGACACACACCTGTACTCCCAGCTACTTGAAAGGTCGAGGCAGGAGAATTGCTTGAACCCAGGAAACGGGGATTGAAGTGAGCTGAGATCACGCCAGTGGACTCCAGCCTGGGTGACAGAGAAAGACGCCGTCTCAAAAAAAAAAAAAAAAAAGAAAAAGAAAGACAATATTGGTGTTTTAGATTATAAGAATACAATTTTGATCATAATCATTTACTGTTCTTTGTCACGAAGAACTACTGATCTGTCTTTGTAAACCTGCAAACCTGATCATTGAGAAGTCTGCATCACTATTGATGACAACTTATGGTTCTTCATTAAGTGACCCAGTTCATTTGCTGGAAGATTGGCTGCCTGTTAGCCCAGAAAAAGATCCTTTTTCTAGTGAATATCATTGCAAAGTGAAACAGGAAGAGTGGAAAGGTACAGTCTGTAGGCTAGCATGCGATGCACCATGAAACTCATCATGAAAAGGACATGTGTGTCATTAATCACGGCCACATTGATCACGGCCCCACTCTCTAGGGAAGAAGCCAGTTTTTTCCCTTCCCTGAGAGATACCATAACTGAGCCGCCATCAGTATCTTCAGCCTTCCCTTGGAGGAGGATGAACTCGACCTCGATGGTAAGTGATTGATGGTTGACTTAAGGGAATTTGGCTGGCCAGGAATTTGGCTGGCCAGAGAGATGTCCTTCCTCCCTCACTGCTTCCTCATGGAAATGTTAATGAAGATTAAACAAATTAATATATGAAAGTAATACCTGGAACTTAGTAAATCTCAGTGAATTTTAGTCACTATTACTGCTCCTGTGGACCTCAAGTATCAAGCAATGTGACTACGATCAGTAGTGAACTAGCCTTTCTGTAGGCATATTCCTTTGTTTCTCTTGGGTAAATACCTGGTAGTAGAATGCCTAGTGCATATGGTAAGTGCATGCTCAACTTTTTAATACACTGCCAAGTTGTTTCCCAAAGCAGATGAACCATTTTCCATTTTCAGCAGTAGTGTATGAGAGTTTCAGTGGCTCTATATCTTGACCAGCTTTGGTATGGTCCATCTTTAATTTTAGCCATTCTGATACATATGCAGTGCTATATCATTATATATATCCTTTTTTGAGACTGAGTCTTGCTCTGTCGCCCAGGCTGGAGTGCTGTGGCGCGATCTTCGTTCACTGCAAGCTCCACCTCCCAGGTTCAAGCGATTCTCCTGCCTCAGCCTCCCAAGTAGCTGGGAGTACAGGCACCTGCCACCATGCTCAGATAATTTTTTGTATTTTTAGTAGACACAGGGTTTCACCATGTTGGCCAGGCTGGTCTCGAACTCCTGAGCTCAGGTGATCCACCCGCCTTGGCCTCCCAAAGTGCTGGGATTATAGGCGTGAGCCACGGCGCCCAATCTAGAGCATCTTTTCTTGTGCTTGCTTCTGTCTGTATGTCTTCTTTGGTGAAGCATCTGTTTAAACCATTGCCTATTTTTTATTAGGGTGATTTATCGTCTTACTATTGAACAGTAAGAGCTCTTGTATATTTTGGTTACAGATCTTTTGTTGGATGTATGTTTTGCAAGTGTTTTCTTCCAGGTGAGCACTGCCACTTCATTTCATTAACAATGATGTTGAAATAGGAAAATGTGTATTTTGGGGGAGTCAACTACTCTTCTCAAATCTGCCTGAATAGATTTATCCTTTAGGCCTCTTTTGTGGCAAGACAAATTCATAGCTGAGAAATTTATATGGGAGGAACAAAAAAGTAACTGTACCACTATCTAATATTGAGCACCAGTATTAGTGCAATTATTTAATAATGTAACTTCTTGTTAGTATAACATTAGTGAAAAATAATTATGAAATCTTTAGTATGTTTATCTTCTTCCATAAAATAAATTCATGGCCAGTGGGGTGTCTCACGCCTGTGGTCCCAGCACTTTCGGAGGCTGAGGTGGACAGATCACGAGGTCAGGAGTTCGAGACCAGCCTGGCCAACGTGGTGAAACCCCATCTCTACTAAAAATACAAAAGTTATCTGGGCTTGGTGGTGGGTGCCTGTAATCCCAGCTGCTCGGGAGGCTGAGGCAGAAGAATCGCTTGAGCTTGGGAGGCGGAGGTTGCAGTGAGCTGAGATCACGCCACTGCACTCCATCTTGGGCAACAGAGCAAGACTCTGTCTCAAAAAAATACATTAATTAATTTAAAAAATAAATTCATCAAATAACGACAATCACGAGAGTGACTACAAAAGATGGGCGTGTCCTCAGAGTCTGGCCTCAGTGAGTTTGGAGTGGTGCATACCAGGAGCAGCAGAGGTTCCAGGGAAAATTGTAGACAGAGGAAACAAACCACCATGAAGGAGAGTCAGTGGCAATAATCATTACCAATGAAGAACTGTAGAGTCGTATTTCAAGAATGAAGGTGAGAGCCGGGTGTGGTGGCTCATGCCTGTAATCCTAGCACTTTGAGAGGCCAAGGCAGGCAGATCACCTGAGGTCAGGAGTTTGAGACCAGCCTGGCCAACATGGTGAAACCCTGTGTCTACTAAAAATACAAAAATTAGCCGGGCGTGGTGGCAGGTGCCTCTAATCCCAGCTACTTGAGAGGCAGAGGCAGGAGAATCACTTGAGCCTGGGAGGCAGAGGTTGCAGTGAGCCGAGGTCACGCCACTGCAGTCCAGCCTGGCGACAGAGTGAGACTCTGTCTCAAAAATAAATAAATAAATAAATAAAATTGAGGTAGTCATTTACAGAAAAATATAATCTTTAAGACTTAAGAGCATTTAAGACCAACAAAGTTTCAATAAAGAAATGTTAATAGAGAAGGTTAGCAAGAAAGGAAAAGATTAAGGAGTGCAGTTATGAATAGTTAGAATCTAGTAGCTAGTAAGCAGATGACACATCTGAAACTCTAATCACGTATTTGCAACAATAAGAAAGCTGTATGTAAAACAACTTCTGTTTGTGGTTGGTGGAATTAAAGGAAACAAGACAGAATAAGCGAACAACTGAAAATAAATACAAAAATGAGGTGATCAGAGTGAAGGCATTCTACAGTGTTTGCATTATTTTGTGGAGGGAGTTAAAATTAGCTTAATTTTAGCCTTTGTTAAATTGTAATGCAAAATGCAGTGTAAAATTTCAAGGAAAACAACTAAAAGAATAGTAAAGATTCCAAACCAATAGAGGTTTAATTTCCAAACCAATCAAAGGAAAAAAGATGGAATTGGTGGGTGAGGGTAGACGGATTTAAATTATTCAAAAGAGACTGGGCAGAGTGGTTCACACCTGTATTCCCAGCAATTTGGGAGGCCAAGGCAGGTGGATCACCTGGGGTCAGGAGTTCAAGACCAGCCTGGCCAACATGGTGAAACTCCTTCTATTCTAAAAATACAAAGAAAAAAATTAGCTGGGCGTGGTGGCTTACACCTGTTGTCCCAGCTACTCAGGAGGCAGAGGCACGAGAATCACTTGAATCCGGGAGGCAGAGGTTGCAGTAAGCCGAAATCATGCCGCTGCACTCCAGCCTGGGGAACAGAGTGAGACTCAGTCTCAATAAATAAATAAATAAATTCAAAAGAAAAGCAGGAAGAGAGAGGGAAAAAAACTAGATAAAATGGACAAGTAGAACACATAAAGTGAAAGGATAAGGATATAGAAGATTCGAATAGATTATTTCCCACTTTGATTTTAATGGACATATATCGTGATTAGAGAATATTATGCAGCCATTTAAATTGCATATGTAATAGTTACCACTTTACTTGGCATAAAGCCAGTTTTAATAAATTTCAAAGAATTAGTAACAAAAATAATTGAGAAAAACTTCCAGAAACTGGAAAAGGATAATGTGCTTTTGTTATAAAAGTTCATGTTATGTTGAAATGGATAAATGGAAAACAACAAAAACAAAAAGCATACCCAGAAACATGAAGGTCACATTTTATATCACCAGAATGATATAAACTTATTTGCTTCAAAGGAATGAGAGAGACTTTGATTTGATCAGGGTGGTGACATCAGAAGCAAAAAGAAGTGCAGAAATCAATAGTGAGTTCTCACAGAAAAGAACATTGGAAATAGAAATTTACAGTCAGCCAAACTATCACTGAAACCAACCTAAGACAGAATTTATTCAGAAGTATGTACTACTGACTACCTGTAAACTCTGTGAGGGGAAAAAAAACCAAAAAAACAAAACTGGAGGATGCACTCCATAAAGAAGAGAAAATGAATTCAAAGAAATGCATTAAAAATACTAATCAGGCTGGGTGTGGTGGCTCACACCTGTAATCCCAGCACTTTGGAAGGCCGAGGTGGGTGGATCACCTGAGGTCAGGAGTTTGAGACCAGCGTGGCCAACATGGTGAAACTCCGTCTATACTAAAAATACAAAAATTAGCCAGGTGTGGTGGTGTGCACCTGCAATCCCAGCTACTTGGGAGACTGAGGCAGGAGAATCACTTGAACCGAGGAGGCAGAGGTTATAGTGAGCTGAGATTGTGCCACTGCACTCAAGCCTGGGCCACAGAGTGAGACTGTCTTAAAAAAATAATAATAATAATCAATAGTCGGCAAAAACAAAGAAGTAAAAATAATAGTAAAATTTGATTAAATCTGAATTGGTGCAAATATTTAAATAAATCAGCTACATGAGACATCTCAAATGTTATCAACATAGGGAGTAATATAGGGTGGAGCAGGTGAAGTTTGCTATTGTATTTTATTTTCTAAGTATGGATAGAATTTAGGAATATTAATAGTGTTTTGTACAGTTAAGCTAACAGCTAGTCAGTTACATTTGGATTTTCTACCTACACAGTCACCTCTTATGGAGGTAATGACAGTTGCTTTTTTGTTTTCATTGAATTATTTTGCTTTTATTCATTTTTAAATTTTCTCCTGTGTACTGGTAGGACTTGCAGTGAGCAGAGGGATGACTGAATAGAATGAGAAGCAGATTTGCCCTAAGCAGTTCCCAACTTGACTTTTCCCTTTAGCTTAGTGATTTTGGGGTCCAAAGATTTGTTTTCCTTTCACACAGCATTGTTTACATTAGCCAAGATTTAGAAGCAACATGTCAACAGATGAATGGATAAAGCAAATGTACATACACACCCCCAGGAGTACTTTTCACTTATAAAGAATAAGATCCTGTTATTTGCAACAACATGGATGGAACTGGAGATCATATGGTAAGACAAATAAGCCAGGCACATAAAGGCAAAATTTTTTCTTACAAGAACTTTGGCTATTCTGAGTCTTTCGTGGTTCTGTCTGCATTATAGGATTGTTTTTCCTGTTTCTGTGAAGAGTATCGATGTTTTGATAGGGTTGCATTAAGTCTATAGATTGCATTGGTTAATATAGACACTAAAAATACTGATTCTTATTCATGAACATAAAATACATATTTTTGTCTTTTTAAATTTCTTGCATCAATGTTTTATAGTATTCATTGTAGAGATCTTTAACGTCTTTGGTTAATTCCTAGGTATTTAATTTTAATTTGAGGCTATCGTAAATGGGACCACTCTCTTGATTTCTTTTTCACATTGTTCACTGTTGGCATATAGAAATGCTGCTAACTTTTTAATCCTATATCTTGAATAAAATTGTGAGTTCTCATAGTGTTTTAGTGAATTAGGATTTTCCAAATATAAGACCACATCATCTGCAAACAAACATAATTTGACTTCTTCCTTTCCAATTTGCTTGCCCTTTATTTTTTCTCTTGCTAATTGCTCTAGCTGCCATGTGTTGAATAACAGTAGTGAAAGTGTGCATCTCTGTCATGTTGTCAATCTTAGAGGAAAAGCTTTTCATTTTTCCCCATTTAGTATCATACTATATGTGATATCTATATATCTATATATAACTTTTATATGCTGAGGTATGTTTCTTTTTTTATTATACTTTAAGTTTTAGGGTACATGTGCACAATGTGCAGGTTAGTTACATATGTATACATGTGGTATGCTGGTGTGCTGCACCCATTAACTCGTCATTTAGCATTAGGTATATCTCCTAAAGCTATCCCTCCCCCCTCCCCCCACCCCACAACAGTCCCCAGAGTGTGATGTTCCCCTTCCTGGGTCCATGTGTTCTCATTGTTCAACTCCCACCTATGAGTGAGAATATGTGGTGTTTGGTTTTTTGTTCTTGCGATAGTTTACTGAGAATGATGATTTCCAATTTCATCCATGTCCCTACAAAGGACATGAACTCATCATTTTTTATGGCTGCATAGTATTCCGTGGTGTATATGTGCCACATTTTCTTAATCCAGTCTATCATTGTTGGACATTTGGGTTGGTTCCAAGTCTTTGCTATTGTGAATAGTGCTGCAATAAACATACATGTGCATGTGTCTTTATAGCAGCATGATTTATAGTCCTTTGGGTATATACCCAGTAATGGGATGGCTGGGTCAAATGGTATTTCTAGTTCTAGATCCCTGAGGAATCGCCACACTGACTTCCACAATGGTTGAACTAGTTTACAGTCCCACCAACAGTATAAAAGTGTTCCTATTTCTCCACATCCTCTCCAGCACCTGTTTCCTGACTTTTTAATGATTGCCATTCTAACTGGTGTGAGATGGTATCTCATTGTGGTTTTGATTTGCATTTCTCTGATGGCCAGTGATGGTGAGCATTTTTTCATGTGTTTTTTGGCTGCATGTATGTTTCTTCTATAGTTTTGAGGGTTTCTTTCATGAGGAGATATTAAATTTTGTCAAATGATTTTCAGGATCAATTAAAATGATCATGTGGTTTTTGTTCTTTCTTTTGTTGATATGGTATATTACATTAATTGATTTGCATATGTTGAAGTATCTTTGCATCCATGAGATAAATCCTACTTGATGATGAGGAATAATAAACTTTTAATCTGTTGCTGAATTTTACTTGCCAGTATTTTTATGAGAAATTTTGCATCTATTGCTGATATTGGCCTATAGATTTTTTTGATATGCATTTGTCTGATTTTAGTATGAGAGTAATGTTTGCCTTACAGAACGAGGTTGAAAGTATTTCCTCCTCCTCTGTTTTGAAATAGTTTAAGTGGGATTGCTATTAGTTTTATACATGTTTTGTCAAATTCAGTGAAACCATCAGATTTCAGGCTTTTCTTTGATGGGAGGCTTTGTATTATGGATCTCATCACGTCTTGTTTGTGTATTCAGGTTGTGGATTTCTTAATAATTCAATCTTCTTAGGTTCTATGTGTCTAGAAATTTATCCATTTGTTCTAGATTTTCCAATTTATGGCATCTATCTGCTCATAGTACTCACTAATGATCTTTTGAATTCCTGCAGTATAAGTTGTAGAGTTGAAATGTCTCCTTTTTCATCTTTGATATTATTTGAGTCTTTTCCTTTTATTCTTTTATTTATTTATTTATTTTTGAGATGGAGACTTGCTCTGTTGCCCAGGCTGGAGTGCAGTGGCTCGATCTCAGCTTACTGCAACCTCCGCCTCCCGAGTTCAAGCAATTCTACCTGCCTCAGCCTCCTGAGTAGGTGAGATTACAGGCGCCCACCACCACGCCTGGCTAATTTTTGTGTTTTTTAATAGAGACGGGGTTTTGCCATGTTGGCCAGGCTGATCTTGAACTCCTGACCTCAGGTGATCCAGCCGCCCGCCTCAGCCTCCTAAAGTCCTGGGATTACAGGCATGAGCCACTGCCTGCTGAGTTTTTTTTTTTTTTTTTCTTAGTCTGAGTAAAGGTCTGTCAGGTTTCTTTTTTTTTTTTTTTTCCAGAAAACAACTTTGCATTTTATTGACCTTTTGTATTTTATTTCAAATTCATTTATTTCTGCTTTGATCTTTATTACTTCTTTTCTTCTAATTTTGGTTTGGTTTGCTCTTGTTTTTCTAGCTCTCTAAGATACGTCATTAGGTTTTTTTTTTTTTAAGTGTCAATTGTTTTGGAAATACAGGTGGTTTTTCATGACATGGATAAGTTCTTTAGTGTGTTTTCTGAGATTTCAGTGCACTTGTCACCTGAGCAGTGCACACTGTACTTAATATGTAGTTTTTTATCCCTCACCCGCCTCCCAGCCTTCCCCCTCGAGTCCCCAAAGTCTTTTACATTATTCTTATGCCTTTGCATCCTCATAGATTAGCTCCCACTTATATGTAAGAACATACGATATCTAGTTTTCCATTTCTGAGTTATTTCACTTAGAATAATGACCTTCGGCTCCATCCAAGTTGCTGCAAATGACATTATTTTGTTAAGTGTTCCCATTTCACCACATCCAATGCCAACATCTGTTGTTTTCTTGACTTTTTTTGGCCTACAAAAAATGGCCATTTTTGTAGGAGTTATTTGATATCTAACTGTGGTTTTCATTTGTATTTCCTTGATTATTGATGTTGAGCATTTTTAGGTTGTTATTAGCTGTTTGTATATCTTCTTTTGAAAAAATATATATTCATTTTCTTTGCCTACTTTTTGATGGAATTATTATTTTGCTAATTTCTTTGAGTTCCTTATAGATTCTGGATACTAGCTTTTTGTCAGATGTGTAGTTTGCAAATATATTCTGCTACTCTGTGGGTTGTCTGTGTACTCTGCTGCTTATTTCCTTTGCTGTGCAGAAGCTTTTTAGTTAAATTAGGTCCCATTTATTTATGTTTGTTTTTGTTGCATTTGCTTTTGGGGTCTTAGTCATGAATTCTTTGCCTAAATCAATGTCGAGAAGAGTTTTTTTTCTTATGTTATCATTTAGAATTCGTATGCTTTCAGGCCTTAGATTGAAATATTTGATCCATCTTGAATTGATTTTTGTATAAGGTCAGAGATGGGGATCCAGTTTTATTCCTCTGCGTGTGGCTTGCCAGTATTTCCTAGCACCATTTATTGAATAGGGTGTTCTTTCCCCAATTTGTGTCTTTATATGCCTTGTTGATGATTAGTTTAGTTGCCTGTGTTTGGCTTAATTTCTGGATTCTGTATTTTGCTTCATTGGTCTGTGTGTAAATTTTAATACCAATACCATGTTGTTTTGATAACTATAGCCTTGTAGTATAATTTGAAGTAGGGTAATGTGATGACCCCATATTTTTTATTTATTTGTTTGGTTAGTATTACTTTGGCTATGTAGGCACTTTTTTGATCCATATTAATTTTAGGGTTTTTTTTCTAGTTCTGTGAAGAATACTGGTGGTATTTTCATGGAAATTGCATTAAATCTGTCATGAAGTTGTTCATTTGAATTTTTTTATGTAGACACTTTTAGTTATAAACTTTTAGTACTGCTTTTACTGTAAATCCTAAGTATTTCCATTGTGACATATTACAGAAATATTTCAATTTATTTATTAATATCCCCATTGACCCACTGGCCTTTCAGGAGCATATTGTTTAAATTCTATGTGTTTGTATAGTTTCAAAAATTTGTCTTGTTATTGATTTCTAGGTTTTTTTATTGTAGTCACAAAAGATGCTTGATATTATTTTAATTTTTAAAATGTGTTAAGACTTGTTTTGTGACCTAACATACGGTCTATCCATGAGAATGATTCATGCACTGCAGAGCAAAATGTGTATTCTGAAGCCATTGGATAAAATGTTCTGTAAATATCCATTGTGTCCATTTGGTTTATAGTGCAGATTAGGCCTGAGATTTCTTTGTTGGTTTTCTGTCTGGAAGATTTATCCAATGCTGAAAGTGTGATGTTGCATTCTCCAGGTATTATTATATTGGAGCCTGTCTCTCTCTTTAGCTCTAATAATACTGGCTTAATATATCTGAGTACTTCAGTGTTGGATGCATATGTATGTAACATTCTTACATCCTCATGCTGAATTAAACTCATTATTATTATAGAGTGACCATCTTTGTCTCTTCTTCTAGTTTTGTCTTGAAATCTATTTTGTCTGACATAAGTGTAGCAACTACTGCTATTTTTGTTTGTTTTCTTTGACATGGAATTTTTTTAAATCTTTTTAATCTATGTGTTTATAGGTGAAGTGTGTTTCTTGTAGGCAACAAATCGCTGGGTCTTAATTTTTGTATCCATTTAGCCACTCTGTGTCTTTTGATTGGAGAATTTAGTCCATTTACATTCAGTGTTGTTATTGATTATATAAAGACTTACTCTTGCCATTTTGTTCTTTGTTTTCTGGTCTTGCTATCAGCAGCAAGAGGGAACCTGAAAGTAGGTAGCCATCTGTGAGGCTGAGTCTGGGATTTTTATGGGTTTAAAACAGGAGAATGCATGCTGATTGGTTCATGGGTGGGCTTGGAAAAGACACCATTCAATTGGTTAAAAGGCATCATTCTCAAAGAACCAATAGAGAGCAGGTTAGACAGGGATGGAAGTTCTCACTCTAGTCCATGAATTCTTTCTGGAACTGGTAGCTCAGTTTTCAGGCTTTTTAGACTGTTGTTTCCTTGAAGGTCGAGTTTCACCAGTGCACCCATCCCTGTCTGCCTAGGAGTTTGTCTTCTGTTGCTATCAGTAGGACTGCAGTGGGTCAGACCTGAAACCAGCACAGCACTTGATCACACCCATGGTGAGCTGTAACCCTACCTGGTACCACCAGTAATTGCTCAAGGTCTTGGGGCTTTATAATCTGTAGGTGGTAAGCCAGCCAGGTTTGTATCCTTTCCTTCAGAGTAGTGAGTCCCCTCAGGTTCTGGGCAAGCCCAGTGGTGCCATCCAGGAGCCAGGGGCTGGAGTCAATAACCTTAGGAGTCTACTTTGTGTTCTATTGTACTGTGGTAGAGCTAGCAATTAAACCATGAAATTCGGTTCTTCCCATTTTTCCCTCCTTACTCAACAGGCAGAGGGGCCTCATCCTATTGCTGCCATCACCACAGGCCCATCGGGAATACTGCCAGGCTTCCACCAATGTTCTCTTAAGGTTCAAGGCTCTTTAGTTCACTTATAGTGAATGATGCTTGGCCTGGTACTCATCCTTTTGGTCAGTGGTGTCCCTTCTGTCCCAGTACAGGTCCAGAAGTGCCATCCAAGTGCCAAGACCTGGAATAAGGGACCCCAAGAGCCCACTGGTGCTCTTCCTCTCTTTGGCCATGCTGGGACCTAAGTTGCAAGATGAAGTTCTCTAGTTTTTCCTCTACCTTTTTCAGTGTCTCCCTGTAGCCACCACAGTTGTGAATGTGCCGAGTCTCACCTGATTCTAGCAAGCCTCAGAGTCTCAATGAAAGCTCACAGCAAACTACCTGGTTATCACTGCAGGTTATTCCAGGCCAAGGGCCCTTTACTTAGCAGTTGATGGGTCTTGTTAGTACCGGATTTCTTCATTCAAGGCAGCAGATTTCCTTATAGTCCAGTATGTACCTAGAAATTTTAATTAGGAGCTAGTGGCTGAGAAGGGTGTTTTATAACTCTGACTGGTGGCCTTGCTGGTATCCAAAATACAAGACAAAGTCCTGTTTACTCTTTCTGTCTTCTTAAGTAGATGGAAGTGGTCTCTTGAATCTGTGAGCTGTGCAGCCTCAGTTTGGAGGAGGGGTGGTATAAGAACTCTCTTAGCTGCCCCAGCTTGTATCTTAGTAGGTAATGTGGCCCCCAAGTCCACTGGCTCTAAGCCCAGTTCAGCATGACACCTGGGAGTTGCTGTCCTTGTGACCTAGACTGTTTTAAGTTTCTTTAGGGCCCCAGAGCATTTTAGACTATGGTGGTGAAGCTTGCCAGAACTCAAGTTCCAATCACTGGGAGGGTGATTCCCCTCTGTCCAGGGCCAGTTGAAACACACCCTCTGTGGGCAGGCATCAGCTGAGTTCATTCCAGTTTTGCTTTCTGCTATGATGGGGCAGCACTGAGTTCAATGCTCACAATCCCAGTGCTCTCCCTCTCCCAAGTGTACAGATTCTGTCTACATAGCATGTGACTACTGCCAGGGCATGAGTGAGGAGTGGCATTAGTGATTCAAGACTGTCTTTCCTACCCTGTTTTAGTGCCTCTTTGTGTACTGCAGGGTTAAAACCAGGTACTGTGAGTGCTCGCCTTTATTCTTATGAACGTTTTTGTTTGTTTTTTAATAGATAGTTGTTATATTGGTGTCCTTCCAGGGGAAATGATCACTGGAGCCTTCTATTTAGCCATCTTGCTCTGTCCTCTGTTGGTTTTCTACTATGGCATTGTGCTCATGTTCTCAGCTTGGTAAAATTTCATATTAGATTTGTAAAGTATATTCAGCTAAATTCAGTATGTAGAATAATTAGTTATTTTTACTACTTTGAGCTATATATTCTTATTACAACCAAGGCATTTTACCAGAGCAAGGCATAGAAGAGTCATTCAAAAAAGCAACACTAGGAAAAGCAACACTGGGAAGATATGGGAGCTGTGGCCTTGAAAATTTATGCTTATGGAAAAACTGGGAAAGTATAGGTGAAGGACAAAAAGAATGTTATAATTTATGTAGCCAATATTTGACAACTTCTCATAACAAAAATTTAACTGTGAAAGGAGATGAAGAACATAGAATATTTCTGAAGAAGCCTCAGTTTCTGCCAGCTACTCCTACAGAACCGTGTATTCCTGTGAGTAAATATCAACATCAATTTTTGGAATCTGTCTTTTGTAATAAAAATCAGATAAATTTTAGCCATGACTCAAATATTAGTAAACATCAGAATACTCATTTTGTAGAAAACTATTACAAATGTAATGAATGTGAGAAAGTGTTTTATCAATCCTCAAAGTATCCATATTCAAGAAAAGCCTTACAACCCTAATGAATGTGGTGAAACTTCTGACCCATCCTCAAAACTTACTCAACATCGAAGAACTTATATTGGAGAGAGCTCACAAAGATGTAATAAAAAATGTATAATAGTCTTTAGTCAGTCACATCTGAAGAGACATAAGATAATTAACACTGGAGAGAAATCAGTAAAATGTAAAGAACGTGGCAAAGCTTTTACCAGGGGCTTACAACTTGGACATCAGAAAATTCATACTGGAGAGAAACCTTACAAATGTGAAAAATGTGACAAAGCCTTTAAGAAGAGCTCACACCTTGCTCAACATCAGAGAATCCATACTGGAAAGAAACCTATCAAGTGTAAGGACTGTGGCAAAGCTTTTAACAGAGGCTCGTACCTTACTTAACATCAGATAATCCATACTGGAGAGAAAGCCTTCAAATGTAAAGAATGTGGCAAAGCCTTTAATAGAAGCTCATACATTACTCAGCATCAGAGAATTCACACTGGAGGGAAACCTTTCAAGTGTCAAAAAATGTGGCAAAGCTTTTAACAGAGCTTCACACCTTACTCAACATCAGAGAATACATACTGGAGAGAAACACTTCACACATAAAGAATGTGGCAAAGCCTTTAACAGGGGCTCACACCTTACTCGACATCAGAGAATCCACACTGGAGAGAAGTCTTTCAAATGTAAAGAATGCAGCAAAGCTTTTATCTAGGGCTCACACCTTACTCAACATCAGAGAATCTACACTGGAGAGAAATTCTTCAAATGTAAAGAATGTGGCAAAGCTTTTACCAGGAGCTCACACCTTTCTCAATATCAGAGAATTCATACTGGAAAGAAACCTTTCAAATGTGAAGAATGTGGCAAAGCTTTTAACAGACACTCAACCCATACTCAACATCAAATAATTCATACCAGATAGAAACTCTTCAAGTGTAAAGAATGTGCCAAAACCCTAAACTGGTGCTCACACCTTACTCAACAATTCTATCTTTTATACAATAAATTACGGTTAACTATAGTTGTCCTATTGTGTTACGAAACACTAGATCTTATTTCTTCTATTTTTCTTAATGTTTAATTAAAATATTATTTCAGGCTGGACATGGTGGCTGATGCCTGTAATCCCAGCACTTTGGGTCAGTGAGGGAGGATCACTTGAGCTCAGTACATTGAGTCTGCCCTCAGCTATGATTACGCCACAGCACTTGAGCTGAGGACAGAATGAGACCCTGTCCTTAGAAAAAAATAGGCTGGGTGTGGTGGCTCACACCTGTAATCCCAGCACTTTGGGAGGCCTAGGCAGGAGAATCTCATGAGCGCAGGAGTTTGAGACAAGCCCATGCAACATAATGAGACCCCATCTATACACAAAATTTAAAAATTAGTTGGGCATGGTGGTGTGCAGCTGTGGTCCCAGATACTTGGTAGCCTGAGGTGGGAAGACTACTTGAGCCTAGGAGGTAGAATCTGCAGTAAGCCATGATCATGTTACTTCACTCCAGCCATGGTGATAGAATAAGATCTGTCTCAAAGAAACCAAAAAAATAAAATATTTGCTTATTTTTTGAAAAAAATGCACAACATTGAGAAATATGGAAGTTATTTTAAAAGTTTTTTATTCTCTTCTAAATGCATTTTCTAAAATATACAAAAAATTAGTAAAAAAAAAAATGACATAACTGACCTCACATGCATTAAGTGAAATAAACCAGACACAAAACATAATACAGTGTATCATCCCATTTATACAAAATAGTAATCATACCACAATAATAAAGAGGTAATAAAAATGGACCAGGCATGGTGGCTCACACGTTTAATTCTAGCACTTTGGGAGGCTGAGGCAGGTGGATTGCCTGAGGTTAGGAGTTCGAGAGCAGCCTGGCCAACATGGTGAAACCATGTCTCTACTAAAAACAAAATTAGCCAGGTGCAGTGGTGGGCGCCTGTAATCCCAGGTACTCAGGAAGCTGAGTCAGGAGAATCTATTGAACCCGCGAGGCAGGCAGAGGTTGCAGTGAGCTGAGATCGCACCACTGCACTCAAGCCTGCATGACAGAGACTCCATCTCAAAAACGAAACCAAACCAAACAATAAAGGTGATAAAATGGAATGTCCATAAAAGGGAAATCAGTAATGATTGTCTAGTCCTGATAGTGGAAATATTTTAAAGTTATACCATGGCTATAGTTGCATAATTATAAATATACCAGAAACTTTGTATTGAGTATGATGTTATGCATATTTCATCATAACTTTTTTTTAAAAAATAAGCATGCCATAAAATAGCAAGGTGGTTAAATTGCTTGCTTGAAAACAATGTGAAAATGAAATCAATTTTTGCTCATTTCAAGGTTTTTGATTAGGTGTTTCTGAATTTGTCCGTTAGGTCTAGTTGGTATATTAAAGTCAGCAGTTCACATTGAGAATTTTCTACTTCTACCATTCTGCCATTTGTGCTTCATATATTGGGGTCTTTGTTAGGTACATGCATATTTAAAACTATTTTATCTTCTTGATAGATTTATAATTTTTTAACATAAAATTTCCTATGTCAATTAATTATAGCAATGTTGTCTTAATGCCTATCTTGTCTAAGGGTAACCACCCCAGCTTATTTTGCTTACTATTTGTGTGGAATCTTTTTACCCATCCTTTCACTTTCAACCCATTTGTGAGTTTAGGACTAAAGAGATTCTCCTATAGATAACATAAAGTTAGTTCAGGTTTTTGTTTATTTTTAAACCATCTGCCAATCTTTGCATTGTAATTGTAGATGTTAATTTCTATTTAAACTATTTATAAGGAAGGGCACACTTCTGCCATTTTTCTAGTTGTTTTCTAAAGTCTTGTATATTTTTGTTAATTAACTCTTATATTACTGACATCTTTAATGTTCTAGTATTTTTCCAAAACAGTTTTGATTCTCTTCTCATTTCCTCTTTCACTTCTTTCTTTAGTTGTATTTTTAGTGGCTACCTTAAGGATGACAATTAATCTCATCACTGTGTAACTGTACTTTAAATTAATACCGCTCATAATTCAGTTTTATTTTAAAAGCTGTTTCAATAGAGATCTGCTCCTCCAATGTTATGTTGTTTTGTCACATATTACATCTTTATGCATTGTATGACATTAACAAAAATTTATAATTATTTTATGCATTAGTATTTTAAATTACATGTAAAAAAGAACAATAGATAAAAGTTACAAAATATTCTTTAATAGTGGCATTTATATTTTGCCATGTACTCATTTTTACTGGCATTCTTTATTTTTTCATATGGCCTTGCATTATTACCTAGTTTGTCATTTCATTTCAACCCAAAAGATAACCTTTGTCATTTAATGCATACCAGGTCTACTAGTGACAAGCTGTTAAATTTGTTTTAATCTATATAGCTCTTAGTGTCTTCAAAGGTCTTCAAGGATGTCCTTCATCTTTGAAGAGCAGTTTTGCTGAAAATAGAGTTCTTTGTTGGCTTTTTTTTTTTTTGTTTCTACACTTTAAATATATTGTCCTATCATATTCTGGACTCCGTAGTTTTTAGTGAGAAATTATATTCTGGACTCTAGTTTTTAGTGAGTTGTTAATGTCAGTGTAGATGCATTGCAAATAGTAGTCTTTTCTCCATAACTTTCTTCAAAGTTGTCTCTTTAGCTTTTGAAAGTTTTATTGTAATTTGTCTTGGTGTAGAGTTCTTTGAGTTTATACTATGAATTCAATGAGATTTTGGAATGTGTAGATTCACGTATTTCATCATGCTTGGGAACTTTTTAGCCATTATTTCTTCAGATGTTCTTTCTGCCCCATTTTATCTTTCTCCCTTCTTTCGGGAGTTTTCATAATGCTTGTAATGGCACATTTTATAGTATCCCATTGTTATCTTAGACTCTGTTCATCTTTATTCATTATTTTTTATTTCTGCTAGTTGGGATAATACGAATTGAAGTGACCTCAAGCTTGCTGGTTGTGTCTTTCGTCTACTTAAATCTTTTGTTGAACCTTTGTGGTGAATTTTTTATTTTAGTTATCTTAATTTTCAACTTTAGAGTTTGGCTTCAGTTTATAATCTCTATCTCTATTAATATTTTCTATTTGATGAGACACTATTCTTCTGAAATGTTTTTCCTTTTGATGTTATTTATCTTTGCAGCACATTTAAGACAGGTAATTTAAAGACTTTTTCTAGATTTTTCAATGCCTACGATTCCTCTAGGACTGTTTCTGTTAATATCTGTTATCTTATTAGTGGGCCATTATTTTTTCATTAATTTATTTGCACGCTTTGTATTTCATTGCTGTTGCTGAAAACTAGACTTTTTCTATCACAACAACCCTGAAATAATATTCTCTCTCATCCCGTTGGGTTTTTTTGTTGCTTATTGTAAATTTTACTTGTTTGTTTGGTGAGTTTTCAAAATTATTTTTAAAATATCATCCTTTTGTCGTGTTTAGCAATAAAAATCTCTGCTTTATTAGCTTCATGTGAGCTAGTTATTTGACAGAGATTTTCTCAAATGCCTGCTCACATCAAATATAAATCTACTAGTTCTTGCAGTTGGGTTTACTTAGCCAGAAAGATTACAACTTTGCTGTTTTCTTTTCTTCCTGCTTGTGCAGTGTTTGGAGGTAAAGCAGACATGAGAGATAACAGCTTCGTAGGTCTTTGTGAGCATTTGCCTGTCCCTTGATTGACCCTGAACATGCTTATGGGCTTCTGGATTCTCAGGAATATGTGGATAATTTTCAAAGCCCGAATCCCCCAGGCACCTCACTCCTCAGTCTTTTCTCTTAGATATTCTACATGACTTTTGCTTGCCGCACTGATATTCTTTCTCCAAGGTGTGATGAGTAGTTAATTAGCCCTTAACTATTTTTGCCAAACATTAGGTTATTAATTTAGAATTGTTTATTTTTAATGTAGGTGTTTACTGCTGTGAATTTCTCTCAAAAGTTTGCTGCATCCCATGTTTTGATGTTTTTTTGAGACAAGTTCACACTCTGACACCCAGGAATGAGTGCAGTGGTTTGATCAGGGGTCTCAGAAGCCTTGACCGTGTAGGCTCAAGTGAACTTGCTGCCTCAGCCTCACAAGTAGCCAGAGCTACAGGCAGGTGGTACAATGCCTGGCTAATTTTTGAAATTTTTTTGTGAAGATGGGTTCTCATTATGTTGCCCAGGCAGGTCTCAAACTCTTGGGCTCAGTCCTCCCACTGCTGCCTCCTAAAATGCTTAAATTACAGGCATAAGTCACAGCACTCAGCCTTTATAAAACCTTTGATATTTTTTCTTTTATTCTGTTTTCCCATGTTTGTAACATGTTGTCCCAAATTATACAATAGTTCTATGGTAGTTGTGGCAGATTTGTGACATAAAATAGAGAAAACATAAGTTACATTTAAATTTGGGGTAAACAACAAATAACTTTTTAGTATAGCTATGCAATGTTTTTATATCTGTGTATAATATGTGTAAGCAATTACTGGAGTATATACAAATAACAATTCATCATTTACCTGAAATTCAAATATAACCAAGTGTGTTACATTTGTCAACCCTTGTTCATGGGAGCCACTGTTCTTTTCTCCAGACTCAGCATTAATGACCTGAAAACCTTCATTAGAGAAAAATAAAGTTTGATAATTAGCAGATACATTCTTTTGCGGTATGTAGTAGTCATTAGAGAGGGTGTGGCATGAATTAAAGTGTGTGATCTGGATACCTTATGGGGAGAAAAAATAGAATTCTTACGTATGTTGTTTTATCTAATTGTATTACCTCTTTCTGTGATATAACTTTTAATACATACAGTATATTTAGTAAAAGTGATTTCTACATAAGTAGTAAGTAGTTATTTGTATATTAATTGTCCATGTTTATTTTCTGGAACTAGACTGCAGTATTTAATATATGGAGATTATTATGGCTTTAATCTGATACTATCCTGGAGCTTCTTTTAGGTTTAACATGACAAAAGAACCATATCATGTTGATGGCATCAGTATATTTTGGTGGCAACTATCCATTGTTTGGTTCTGGACATTGAGATAAATGTGTACTTATACTAGATTATGTGTTAGGAGAAAAAATAAAAACTGATATATAAACTATGCAATTTCCTTTTTGTAAACTCATCCATATCAGGTGGTTTAAAATTGGTTAGCAGTTTTCTAACTCAGATGTTAATTTCTGAGTATGAGGTAAAAAATACTGTCAAATCATCTTCATTGCCTTGCACATTTATATTTGTGGTTTGTGCATTAGTACCATCACAACTCACTGGCTCACTATAGCCTCAAGATCCTATGCTCAAGTGATCCTTCCATGTCAGCTTCCCATGTAACTGGGACCACAGGTACGTGCCACCATGCCTAGCTAATTTCTTTCTTATTTTTGATAGACACAGGGTATCACTGTGTTGCTCAAGCTAATTTCAAACTGTTTATCTGAAGCAATGTCCCTGCCTCAGCCTCTCAAAGCGGTGGAATTATAGGCATGAGCCAGAGCTCTATTATTCTAAGCTGCGGGCTGAATTAGTTGGATACAATAGTGATGACTGTATTCAGGGCAAAGAAGAAAGTAATTGCAGAATTATTCAATAAAATTTTATGAAGGGTTCTCATACAGAGATATCATGATTAAGAGATGGAGAATTATCTTTACTATTAGTGACCTTGGTGTTTTTCCAAGGCTTGGAAAGGCATCTTTCCATGGAAGGGTATCTTCCATGGAAGGGTATCTCTGTATAAAGTGAAGCATCAAGAAAATTATCACTTAATGCAAATTCATGGATCCCATAAAGTAGAAAAAGGTAGTCCATGTACTTGTAGCATTGAAAACTGGATTTTAGCAATTTCCTCCTGAGATGAAATAAAGCTTTCATGAGATTTCTCTGGGATAAAAACAAAACTTGAACAGAGCCAGAATTATTTTAAGGGATTCGTTTAATAGGACTTGTGGTAAGTGGAATAATGCCATGCAAAGGTCCCCATGTCTAACCACCAGGTTCTAGGCATGTATTATGGTATATGAGAAATGGGAATTCAGGCTGCAGATGAAATCAAGGTTGATAACCAGCTGACTCTAAAACAAAAACATTAACTTGAATTACAGATTTGGGCCTAATGTAATTATAAGCATTCTTAAAAGTGAAAGAAATAATAAGAGAAACTGAGTACTGTGATGTGAGTCAGTTAAACTTTTTTTTCAACTTTTTCTTTAGGTGATTATTTTCCCTTAACATAAAATTTACTTTAGCTCAACTATACAAACATGTGAGTTATTGTTATGTAACCATCACTCTTCATTAAGAAATGCTTTGTAAAAAGTGAGCCAGTTTTTCATATACATTCTTCAAAATACATTCTCAACATTATACATCAAATTATATATACATACATGCACACATACACTATATATATCAAGGATTTATATGATAGGATTAATTAAGAAAAAAATTAGTGGAATAAAAATAATGTTTATGATAATTTTGGCCATAGAATATATAATACAGATGATGTGAAGTACAAAATGTTTTTTATACTTCATATTTTGATGTACAAAGTATGTTTGTCTTTGTAATTCAGATGATTACTTTGCACTTGTGTTCCCATGAAAAATGCCTTTCATTTCTAAGCTGGTATTGGCATCTCAGCCAACACTTTTCTCCTTCTTTTCTGCGTCTTCTCCTTTTCTGCTTTTTCTGGATCTCAGGCCAGAGCGCACTTACCTACCAGTCTGTCATGTGGCCCTCATCCACATGGTGGTCCTTCTCACCATGGTGTTCTTGTCTCCACAGCTCTTTGAATCACTGAATTTTCAGAATGACTTCAAATATGAGGCATCTTTCTACCTGAGGAGGGTGATCAGGGTCCTCTCCATTTGTACCACCTGCCTCCTGGGCATGCTGCAGGTCGTCAACATCAGCCCCAGCATTTCCTGGTTGGTGAGGTTTAAATGGAAATCCACAATTTTTACCTTCCATTTGTTCTCATGGTCTCTCAGTTTTCCTGTTAGTAGTAGCCTGATCTTTTACACTGTGGCTTCTTCCAATGTGACCCAGATCAATTTGCATGTCAGTAAATACTGTTCACTTTTCCCAATAAACTCCATAATCAGAGGACTGTTTTTCACTCTGTCATTATTCAGAGATGTTTTTCTTAAACAGATAATGCTGTTCTCAAGTGTCTACATGATGACTCTCATTCAGGAACTACAGGAGATCCTGGTACCTTCACAGCCCCAGCCTCTACCTAAGGATCTTTGCAGAGGCAGGAGCCATCAGCACATCCTGCTGCCGGTGAGTTTCTCGGTGGGCATGTACAAGATGGACTTCATCATCTCAACCTCCTCAACGTTGCCATGGGCATATGACCGTGGTGTCTAGAGGCTAGTGGGCAGTGTCTATACCATTGTCAGGTTTTTGGTGCTACTGAGATCTGATAAAAGGGTAATCAATGTGATGTAAACTATAAGACAAATGTTTAAAAGGTTAATTGTATGAATCCTGTCATGAGTTAAATTATTCAGAGTGTTCATTATAGAGAATAATCCAAAGTTAAAATAATTGGATAATTTATTTGTATGTAGGATAAAAGTAGTAGGAGATTGCTTCTTGAAGATTTAAAATTATATTGAGTGTAATTATTTGCATTAAAATAATTTTAAATGTTTTGAATAGCAAGTATTGATATAATTAAACTTTCGAATAACTTAGTGCTTTGCCTTTATTCCTAATGTTTATATGGAAGCATGTGGTCAATGTTTGATGCATTACAGCTCTGAGCGGTCCTTCTGTATTAGGTGGTCATCATTTATATACTTCTCCATAAAAGATTAAGGACCTGGAAATGTAAGATACATGAAGAAAATCTAAGTGGAGAGGCTGTTTGTGGTTAAGTGATAACAGTGTTGTAAGCGATGCATGAGGTAGGTGTTCAGTGCATATCCTCTGCATTTTATTAATAAACACTGTAAAATTTAGAAGAAAATTGTTTCACCAAATGCACATAAAACTAATAAAATAGAGTGGATTTTGATATGTCTCAGATTATTTGTAAACTTTATTTGTTTTAACAAATAAAAAATATTTTTAATATGTTAAGGGTCTTGTGCATTGATTGAAGTGTCATCCTGCTGTCAACATTAACTTATTCTACCTTACTCAGGCTTGTAGGTAAAACATGGTAAGACTATACCATTAAGTAATATGGTGGAATAACATCTGTAGTGATTCTTTTTCCCAGTGGCCTTATACTTCAAATAATTTAGAGAATATTGTTCCCACGTGTTACATTTTTATTTATTTTGTAACTGTGAAGTTATTGTGATGGTTATACTGAAGATTATATAGGAGTATAATCAAAAGCCCTACATTTCTGAATTCTGAATAACTATTTAGAAAATTCAGCCTACATTTTTTTGAACATGTTATCTCTGGTTCTACAAACACAAAATTTTAGTTTTAATTTACATGGTGTAAAATTTCTAAATATATTACTCTAAAGATAAACTTCAGATATAAAAGAATTGGAGAAGTAATTGTTTTTATGTGAGTGTGGACCTATTCTGAGTAGGAAAATATATCAGAACAAAGCAGATGATTTCATGAGTGTTTATGATATACTAGCAAACTAAAACCTCACAGATTCTGAAAGCAAATTTATTTCCTCTGCTTTCCATTCATCTCTAAAATCTTGTGGTTCAGAATCTCCCCATCCAAACCCTTTGTTCTAGCTTGCCTTCTATTCATGCTAGACCTAATATACAATTTTCTTCTTTCAAAGTTCATGAAGTATTCTTTATGTGACCTGCCTAATGATTATAGCTCTTTCGGTAAAATGTAATGGTGCTAACTAAATAATTTGAAGATCTGAGTAATTTTGCAGTGAGTATATTGTTAAATTTTATTATTTAATTAGTATATTTAATCTTTTCAATTAGAGAATTCTATTTAAGCAAAATGTTTTTATTACTGTTTCTTTCATGTTTTATAGTAGACATATTTGATATAATTATTGAATTTATTGAGCCATGCTTTTAAGGTAAAAACTCGGGAGGCTTCATAAGCCATGGGATTTTCTTGCCATTTGTATGAAGTAAACAAACACAAGACGGTGCTAGGTGTGTAACAAATGCTTTACAATTATCAGGAAATATTTCTGCTCGAGTGAGTTTGTATCTTCATATAAGAGATTAAAAACACCCAGAGTGAAGAAGTGGCATTGGTTTTGCATGGTGAGAGAGGAAATCTGTAGTCAGGCTGCACAACTAACTCTAAATTTAGACAGATAAATTCTGCTTCTTTTATTTTCTAATTATCTTCAGTTTTTCTTTCACTGTCTTTTTATCTTCACCCCCAAATACATATGCATTACAGCCCTTCTCTTTCTTTGCCTGTCTTATGGCAACATCTTGCTCACTGTTCTCCCCACCCCATGTTATTTCACACAGTACTCTGCAGGTTCTGAGGACAAGTTAGAATTATTTTTAATGTGCCTAAAAATTCTTTGTAGCTGGAGAATTTGAGGTCATTTATAGATTACAAATGCAACATTCTTGTCACTTAATTTAGATAAGATAACGCAGTATCCATGGATTAGATCGTTGGACAGATAGCATTGTTAAACATTATTATATTATAACACAAAGAATGGTAAATATCAAATTAGACTAAGTGAAGTATTAATACCAGTGGGCCATGTATTATTAGTGCTACATAAGAAAACAAATCAAAATTTGGATATCCCATTAGAGACATGTCTTAGAAATAAAATTGTATTAAGGAGAGTTAGTGGTAAGTAAAATATTTTAAATTCAAATTTCTATGAAATATTTATCCCACCGCTTATGTTTCCATGCAGAATCTTCTGTTGTTGAGTGGGTATAATAAGTTTTGGACAAAAATAAAATAATCTTTGTGGGTTTAAAATTTGGAATAATCTTTTTTGCGGATTCGTATTGCCATCTTGGGAAATTTCTCACTCATATTATTATAACTTCTTTTATTTGAATGGGCACAGTTACAGTCCACAGTTTTTATTCTCAGACACCTAATTACAGCCAAATTCTAGGTCGTTCTCTTTAGAGAAATCTCAAAGACAATGGCAGGCTTTTGGATTAAAACATTTTCTCAGTGATTTTGGAAGCAAACTTGTTTTCAGTGTTTACAGAAGGGCCAGAGGCGAAACCATTAGCAGCACCTGCCTTTTTAGTGTCTTCTATACCAGGAATTCCAGGTACCTGGAGCTCAAAGTAAAAGCTCTAAAGTACATAGGATTCTCCCAGGCACTGTGCTGGTTCTTGCACATGCTGGTAAATATCTGAGTTTCTATGCTTATGACTGACAAATGAAATGACAAAAACATCACAAAAACTATATATTTTGATACTACTCTGCTAAGCTTATGAATAAGACACAGACTGATTATTTGAAACACTACCTTTTCATGTTTCTACATTTTTTAAATTGACAGATAAAATTATATGTATTGTCATGTAAAATGTGGTTTAAAGCATGCATACATTGTGTAATATTAAATTCTGGCTAATTAACAAGTGCTTTACCTCATATAGTTATCATTTTTGTGATGGAGAACACTTAACATTGACTATATCAGTATTTTTAAAACATAACAGTATGTCATCATTAACTATAGTCACCAGGCTTTACAACAGATTTTTTTAACTTATTCCTTTAATCTAACTAATTATATATTCTTTGAAAGACATCTACCCAATCCCCTTCCAAAATATCTTAGCCTCTCGTTCCACTATTTTAGTCTCTACTTCAATGCGATCAATTTTTTAAAATTCCACATATGAGCAAAATCATGAGGTATTTGTCTTTCTGTGTCTGGATTATTTCAATTAACATAATCTCCTTCATGTTCATCCATGTAATTGAAAATGACAGTATTTTCTATTTTAAGGCTGAATAATAATCCATTCGTACAGAATGGATGTATGCCACATGTTCTTTATCATTTTATTTGATAATAAACCCTGAGTTTGATTTTATATCTTGGCTATTGTGAATAGTGCTGCAATAAACATAACAGCACAGATGTCTCTTTCACATACTTGATTTTTTTCATATGTGCCCAATAATGATATTGCTGTATCATATGATAGTTCAGCTTTTAATGTTTGAGAAATCTCCATACTGTTTTGTATAATGGCTACGCTGATTTACATTCAGTGCGCAAGCATTCCCTTTGCTCCACATCTTTGCCAATAATTATTTTTTTGGCTTTTTATTAATAGTCATTCTAACAGTAGTGAGTTGTTATCTAATAGAGGTTTAGATTAGTCCTAACCTTAGATTAGCCTTAACCTTAGATTAGCCTTATGATAATTTACCTCGCATTTTTTTCATATATTTTTTACCATTTGTATGTCTTCCTTTAAGAAATGTTTATTTACATCTTTCACCCATTTTAATAGTTACTTGTTTATTGTTCTATAGTTGTTTGAGTTTCCTGTCTATTTTGGATAGTAACCCTTTGTCAGATATATAACTCATAAATATTTTCTCTTATTTATACGTTATTTTTCTTCTGTTGGTTGTACCTAGTGCTGTGTAGAAGCTTTTCAGTTTTCAAGTAATCTCATTTGTCTACTTCCACTTTTGTTTGCTGGGATTTTGAGGTGAAATAAATAAGAAAAAATTATTGTCCCCACCAATGTCATGGAGCTTTCACTCTGTTTTTTGTAGCAGTTCCAGAGTTTTGAGTCTTTGATTTATGTTGGTGGAGGGTCTCATTTCATTGTTCTGCCTGGAGATACTCAGTTTTCATAACACCACTTTTGAAGTAACTGTCCTTTCCCCACTGTGTGTTCTTGTCACCTTTGTGTAAGATCCTGAAATTTTATGAATTTGTTTCTGGGCTCTGCATTCTGCTTTATTCACCTATGTTTCTCTTTTTAAACCAGTTATCATACTGTATCAATTCCTAAAGCTTTGTAGTGTATTTCAAAGGTAGTGTAATGCTTCCAGCTGTATTATTTGTGCTTAATTTCTGTTGCTGTTTAGTGTTTTTGTGATGCCATATGAACTTTAGAATTTTTGAAATATTCTAAATAATTTCATTTGTATACAGATAAGAGACTGCTTTGAATCTGTAGATTGTTTTGCTCAGTGTAGACATTTTAACAGTATTAATTCTGCCAATCAATGAACCAGAAATATCTTTCCATTTATTTGTGATTTAGAAAGTTTTTCTACTCAGTGTTTTTTAATTTTAATATAGAAATCTTTCACCATTTTGGTTACATTTATGAGTAAACTTTTTGTAGTTATTATAAATAAAATTGTTTACTTGACTTTTTCAGGTAGTTTATAGTTAATGTATAGAAATTCTGGCATTTTGAATTGGTTTAAATTTTTTATTTTTGTGGGTACTTAGTTGGAGATATATTGATGTGATATATGAGATACTTTAATACAGGCATAGAAAGAAAGAATCACATCATGGAAAATGGGGTATCCATCATCCCCTCAGGCATTTATTCTTTGTGTTACAACCAATCTAATTTTACTTTTTTCGTTATTATAAAATGTACAATTAAAATTATTATTGACTATAGTCACCCAGATGTACTATCAAACACTAGGTCTTACTAATTCTTTCTTTTTTTTTGTACTCATTAACCATCCCTACCGTCCCCTACATTCCCCACTGCCCTTCCCAGCCTCTGGCAACTACCTCTACCTACATGAGTTATATTGTTTTGATTTTTAGCTCCGACAAATAAGTGAGAACATGGAAAGTTTGTTTTTCTGTGCCTGGCTTATTTCACTTAATCTATGGTTCCATCAATGTTGTTGCAAATAATAGGATCTTATTTTTTATGGCTAAATAGTATTCCATTGTGTATATGTGCCATGTTTTCTTTATCCAGTCATTTCTTGATGGACATCAGGTTACTTCCAAATATTGGCTGGAGCACACTGCTGTAACAAACATGGGAGGGTAGATATCTCTTCAATGTATGGATTTCCTTTCTAGTAAGTGAATCCTCAGGAGTGGCATTCCTGAATTATATGGTAGCTTTATTTTTAGTTGTTTTGAAGAATTTTCAAAATGTTACATTCCTGTCAACAGCATACAAGGGCTCCCTTTCTCCACTTCTCTCCAGCATTTGTTACTGCCTACCTTTTGGATATAAGCCATTTAACTGAGTCACGTAATATCTCATTGTAGTTTTGATTTGCATTTGTCTGATGATCAAAAATGTTGAGCACCTTTTCGTATGCCTGTCTGCCCTTTGTACGTCTTATGAAAAATGCCTATTCAAATATTTTGTTTATTGTTTATCAGATTATTAAATTTTGTACATTGAAAGATTTTACTGTGAATAGTTGACGAAAATTGGTTAAGTCCATTAAGACATGCTTCCTGCCCCTCACAACTCACCCACGCTGTTCTAGTCTCTCCGTAAGTGTCAATTCTGAAGGCCACAACTTCCATAACTTCCATATCTTCTCAGTATTACATTTCAAGATGAATATATTGTGCTTTACTCTGGCAACATGTCTTCCATAAAATGAGAATACACATCTGGGAAAAGGGAAAATAAATTACCTCACTTATTAGATTCAGGTGAGTACGTGTTAGAAACCTAATGTATAAAGTTATGTCAAGCACATTAGCAAAATGACACAATAAAAATCATAGGCCCTAATTTCTTCATATACATATACACTTAACAAAAATATCCTGAACAAAATTCCATTGTGATAAGTTTAAAAATCAAGAGTTTGCAGCACCCCAGGCAAGCAGAATGCCAAAAGCCAAATAGTAGAGGAAGGAAAATTTGTTGCATTTACCCACCACAGCCCTTCTTCCTCTCCAATGCAGCATGATGCTTATAGAAGTAAACTTCTGACTTCTTTCTGAAGAAAGAAAATAAACACACAATCCCAGAGTAGACACAGCCTGAGAACAGGCTTTAGAAACCTCCAGAATCTCTAGCCTGGTCAATTGGTGTCAGACTCCAAACCACTTTATAAAGACTGTGACAGCTTTCTGTTAATGCTCAAATCACAATGAAAGATGACAACAGAGTACCAGAGTAACATGGCCAAAAAAACACAATAAATTTCCAGATATGAACCCTAAAAAATTGAGATATACAAATTACTTGAAAATATTCAAAATAACCATCTAAATGATGCTCAGTGTATGAAATGGGAACATAGACAACTGAATGAAAGCAGCAAAATGAGAATATCACAAAAAATTATAAAAACCTTCAAAAATTATGGAGCTGAAGACTACAGTAAGTCATAAAGACAGAAATTCTCAAACAAAATACTTGTAAAATATCAAGAAGCTTAAATTACTTTGGCTAAGATAAACACAAAGTTACTCATAACAAGACAGATTATAAGCAAAATTTTAAAAGTCGTAGGCAAAAGGAATCTTGGAAGCAAGCAGTAAGATAAACCTGTTGTGTCATCTATAGCATGCTTCATTGAGATTTGCAGTGGATTTATCAACACAGTCCTTGCAGGCCAGAAAAAAAGTTAAGTGATATAGTCAAAGTGCTGAAACAAAAACTTTCAAAGCAAGAATACTATAACTAGGAAAATTCTTCAAAAAAAATTCCAAAGTAACAAAATGCAGTAAAAGTACATCACTAGTATATCTGCCTTACTGAAAATGCTTAGGGGTGTCTCTTCCACTGAAAATAAAATTCTAGAAAAAACCTACATTATATAAAAAACATATAACTCTCTAATAAAGACATGCACATAACAGGAAATTGTATTAAAATTATAATACAGAAAACAATTCTATTTTCAAAATTTGATAGACAAAAACATGAAAGTAGTTATAAACACAATATGACAATATAATTTGTGACTTACAAAGTTGAGAGCAGACATACTGAAAAAAACTATGCATCTGAATATCTTACCAATTCAAAATATATTGTAATTTTAAGAAGATTTTTGTAATCTTCATGATAACCACAAATATTAGAGAAATACAACATAGAAATTGAGAAAGAAATCAGACCATATCACCAGAGAAATCAGTGAGACAGCAAGAAAGATGAAAAAGGAACAAAATGGCTACAATAATAAAACAATGATTAATATAATAATAGTAAGTTCCATTTCAGAATACTTTAAAAATATTAATGGACTAACTTTCCCAATCAAAAGACATATTTCATGAAGAGATTCTAAAAATTGTATTAACAGCATCAACTATATTCTGTGTACAAGAGAATCACTGGATCCAATCACAAAGATAGACTAAAAGCAGGATGGAAAAAGATATTCCATGCAAATGTTAGCCAAATGAGAGCAGAAGTAGTCACTGTGACAAAAGACTTTAAGTCAATCATTATCATATTTTATAAAATTTAATTCAAAACTACAGGATAAAAAAGACATTAAATAATACAAAGGTTCATTCATTGGAAACCTATAAAAATTGTATATGTTGTTTGTGTGTGGATTCCTGTGTGTGTGCTTATACCTGTATCTACATCTACATCACACATCAGGGTTTCCAGTTATACATCTATATCATACATCAGGGTTTCCAGTTTATAAAGCAAACATTGATGACATTGAAGCAAGAAATACACAGTGAACAGAAGACTTGAATACACTATAAAAATCAAATTCAACATGCGTAGAGAACACCTCATCCAACAAAATACACAATGTTTTCAATATTTCAGAAAATATTCTTGATAGAAGACGTTAGGCCATGAAACAAGTCTTAACACCTTTTTTTAAATTGAAATATTACTGCTTATTCTTTATAACCAAAATTGAATAAAATAGAAAATGAAACATTCACAAATATATGGGAGTTAAACAATACACCCTCGAACATGCTTTTCTTCAAGGGTGGGAATACTTAATATTATGAAGATGTCCAGACTACATAAAGTGGTCTACAGATTCAATACAGTCCTTTCCAAATTCTCAGTTTATTTTTGCAGAAATAAAAAAGCAACCCCAGAATTATACAGACTACAAAGAGACCAAGAAGACTCAACAATCTTGAAATATCAAGAACAATATCGGGGGTGTCACACCTCCTGATTTTGGAATACATTGTGAAGCTACAGTAGCTAAAGGAATTTGGTGCTGGCATAAATGCACACAACAAGAACAATAAAACAATAGAAAACTTAGAAATACAGCTACACATGTGTGGTCAAATGAGTTGTTTGCACACCCATGCAGCATTATTGACAAAAGCTGATAGGCTAAAGCAGCTTAAACTTTCTTAAATGAATAAATAAAATTTGGAATATAAAAATAGAATATTGCTCAGCTTTGCAAAATCAGCATATGTAACATATAAAATCAAAATCTTAACATGCTAAATAAAGGCAGTCACAACAAGACAGGTTGTCTGAATACACTTATATGGGATATCTAGAAACAAAAAATAATACTATATTTGACGGGCTGGGCGTGGTGGCTCACGCCTGTAATCCCAGCACTTTGGGAGGCTGAGGCAGGCCAATCACCTGAGGTCAGGAGTTCAAGACCCAGGCCTGGCCAACATGGTGAAACCCTGTCTACTAAAAATTTAAAAATTAGCTGGGCATGGTGGTGCACGCCTGAAATCCCAGCTACTTGGGAGGCTATGGCAGGAGAATCGCTTGAACCTGGGAGGCAGAGGTTGCAGTGAGCCGAGATCACACCACTGCACTCCAGCCTGACAACAGAGCCAGACTCCGTCGAAAAAAAAAAAAAAAAATCAGCCAAGAGGAGAAATACACAAGATGAACCATAAACAAAGTTGGTGTTATATTTATAGAGACAACCATGCACATACATATGTATAATTTAACAGTGATAGACAGCTGGTTAATTCATCTTTGAATTAAACCCCACCTTGATTTAAAGTATATATACAGAGTTGCAAATTGTCATTCAAAATTATAATACATAGGTAAAACAGAAACACAATAAACTGCCTATAAATGTATCCTTACTAAAAACACAGTAATTAGGAATTGCAAGACAAGATAAACATTTACCTATAAAATTCTGTATGCAACATTGATATATCATTATAACACCTTTTTCTAGGTAACTACCGAGTTCACCTGTGATTGTGCACCTATGGAGCGCACATACTTGGAATCATTGATGTCTACTGTATGGCAGTAAAATTTTACAGAAAATGCACTACAGACATTAAGAAAATGCTCTAGTAAAATTTTTTTAATGATTATGTAAAGACAGTAAAGATAATGTGTTACTATTAATATATTGATGCTATTTTCACAGCAAATAAAAAGGCTGCAATTCACTCTTTAGAAGCAAAGAAAAGCATTAGACTTTGAAATAAAGTAAAACCATGTATGTTGTAAAATATGAGTTATATACAATGCAAATATTTTGAAATAATTTTTTGTAATTTATCATTTAGATATAGGTTGAGAAAACAAAAATGTTAATGATTCCTATATGATTTCAGTTAACTGTAACGTACAAATGAACATTTTAATAAATAGGGAGTGCCTGTCTGATTTACTTCTTACATGGTGTGGAAATTATAGCATATTGTTCTGAATGAATCTAAAATAACAGACAAATTTGTAATACAGCAAAATACAAAGTGAAACCATATAAGGAGAGTGACATCAGCAAGGATGTTGGAATAAGGGGATCACTCTTGTTTATCTTCCCACAGCTACAATACTTTTGCAGCCATCCA
This sequence comes from Homo sapiens, assembly GCF_000001405.40. Classification (NCBI taxonomy): domain Eukaryota; kingdom Metazoa; phylum Chordata; class Mammalia; order Primates; family Hominidae; genus Homo; species Homo sapiens. Next base: position 21,893,849 of record NC_000015.10, on the reverse strand, counting down.
TGGACAAAAGTGCCTTTATGGGAGCTTTGGGATTAGAGAGGGCATTATGATACCCTGTGAAAAACAAAGACTGAGGAGGGCTGTTTTGGGAAGGCAGGCCCTCATTCAGGGGGCAAATCTGAGAACCCCTGATCTTGTCTACAGACTAGGAATTGACCCATCCTACTCAGTCACACTGAGAATCCTGAAGTGACTCTGTAACCATCTCCAATGCCTCCCAGTTATGGTCTGGAATTAGTCCTTCCCATACAGAGAACTGGGGAGAGACATTCATGATAATGGAGGCAGACCTGCAGAATTTAACCTTTCACCTTTACTGTGGCCTCTGAAGCAGGTCTGTGACTCAGTTTCAGCCCTCTTCACCATAGTTTATAGACAGTTCTGCCCACCTAGAGACCCACAAAGGGAGAGAAAACCCTCTCAGGTACTCAGCAGAAGTCACACTTCATCCACACACCTACTATCAGGGCCGCCATATGCAAACCCAGCTTCAGAACCCTGGCCCTGGCATCTGCCCTACAGATCAAAGTTCTGAAAGCAGTTGAGTCTGCTCGAAATAAGAGGAGTCACAATGAAGCCACCTTGTGCCCAATTTTAATGCTTCTATTTTAACATACTAGTAGTCCTAAGTAGAACAATTTGGGGAAAAATATTTTAAAGCCATCTAAATTGAAAAAATGTCACTTTTTGTAGATGACATGATCTTATATACAAAAACCATAAATAGTACACCAAAAACCTATTTAAACTAATAAATGCACTCAATGAATTTTCAGAATATAAAAACAGCATACAAATCTCAATTGTGTTTTTATACCCTAACAACAAACTATCCAATTAAAAGGAAGAAAATGATTTCATTTAAAATAAAATAAAAAACAATAAATTTCTTAGGAACAAATTTAACAACTAAGGTGAAAGATCTTTATGCTGAAAAATAAAATATTGATAAAGGAAACTGGAGAAGACAAAAAATGTAAAGCTATCATAGATTGGAGGAGTAAATATTGTTAAAATTCTACATTATCCAAAATGATCTATAGATTTAATAAACTCCCTATAAAAATTCCAATAACTTGTTTCACAGTAATAGAAAATACAAGCTTAAAATTTATGTGAAATTACAACAGACTTTGAATAGCTAAAGCAATCTTGAGGAAGAAGAAAGCTAAGGATATTATAGTTTCTGATCTTTTTTTTTTTTTTTTTGAGATGGAGTCTCACTCTGTCACCCAGGTTGGAGTGCAATGGTACGATCTCAGCTCACTGCAACCTCTGCCTCCCAGGTTCAAGTGATTCTCCTACATCAGTCTCCTGAGTAGCTGGGATTACAGGTGCTCGCCACCATGCCCGGCTAATTTTTATATTTTTAGTAGAGACGAGATTTCACCATGTTGGTCAGGCTGGTCTCGAACTCCTGACCTCATGATCCACCCACCTCGGCCTCCCAAAGTACTGGGATTACAGGTGTGTGAGCCACTGCACCCGCCCCTATAGTTTCTGATTTTAAATTATATTCAATACTATAGTAATAAAAACAAGACAGCATGTGCATAAAAATGAACACGAAAACCTACAGAACAAAGTAGAGATCCTAGAAAAAAAAAACCTATGCCTATAAAATCAATTAATCTTGAACAAGGATATTGAAAATGCACAATGCAGTAAGTGAAATCCCTTTATTATTTGGAGCTAAGAAAATTGGGTATCCACAAGCAAAAGAATAAAATTAGATGATTTTTCTTACATCATATCCCAAAATTAACTCAAAATAAGGACAAATAAAACACATGAATTCTTAAAAATCCTAAAAGAAAACAAAATGTGGTCAACCTCCTTTATATTGGTCTTGACAGTATTTTTTTGGATCTGACACAAAAAGTGCGCCACAAAGGCAAATATAAAAAAGTTGGACTACATCAAACTAAAAAACTTATAAACAGAAAACAATAAGAAAACTTACAGGTTGGGAGAAAATATCTGCAAACCACTGTTAAGTGGTTAATATCCAAAATATGTAAGGAACTCATACAAATAAAAAACCAAAACAACAATAATAATGACAGTAATGATAACATGATTAAAAGACAGGTAAAGAAATATTTTTTTAGTGAAGACGTAAACTAAGAGTATTTGAAAAGCTGCTCAACATCTTCAATCATGAGGCAAATACAAATAGAAACAATGATGACATATCATTTCACACTTGTTAGGATGGCTAACATCAAAATTCAGAGACATGTATGTTATTCTGATGATGGATACCCTAAAAGCCCTGACCTCACCACCATGCAGTCTATCCATGTCACAGCCCTTGAACTGGGACACATTTACCTGAAAACCAGCCATTTCATCTTCTTTCTCTTTCTTCTCTGAGTTTTTGTCAGGTGAGATTCTCTGGACAAGTCATGGCTGTATGTTGATAATATGCCTTAAAAAGCATCAGTACAACCCCTTTACTTGCTACGACTACAGCTACAGGGAGAAGGAACTAGAAGTGCAAAAAAGTCCACTCTTCCCTGTCCTTTATCCCAGGAGAGAGTCAGGAACAATGAGCTCCTACATAAAGATCAAAATGTGTTTCTCATTTCCTGCTTTCAAGTGTCCTCTCCTATCAAAGACTCAAGCAACTTTTGCTGCAGCAACTGGACTATGGGCTGCACTAACCACCGTATCAAATCCAAGCAGAGCAGATCCTGTGACCTGGAGAAAGGAGCCGGCTGTCCTTCCCTGCTGTAACCTAGAGAAAGGAAGCTGGCTGTCCTTCCCTGGCACAGCTGCACGCAAGGAATTTTCCACCACGCCCACCGGGCAGTAAGTTGAAACATAAAAAGATTAACAAGTTGGCTTATTTTTACTTCTACTCAGAGTGCAGAGTCATCGTAATTTATTGTTTTCTATGTCTCAAATACTCTGCTTTATTTTATTTTATTTTATTTTATTTTATTTTATTTTATTTTATTTTTGAGATGGAGTCTCGTTCTGTTGCCAGGCTGGAGTGCAATGGTGCAATCTCAGCTCACTGCAGCCTCCGCCTCCCGGGTTCAAGCAATTCTGCCTCAGCCTCCCGAGTAGCTGGGACTACAGGCGCACGCCAGCACGTCCAGCTAATTTTGGCATTTTTAGTAGAGATGGGGTTTCAACATGTTGGCCAGGATGGTCTGGATCTCTTGATCTCGTAATCCGCCGCCTTGGCCTCCCAAAGTGCTGGGATTACAGGCGTGAGCACTGCGCCCAACCTGTTTTATTTTTTAGTATGTTATCAAATGAAACATTAGTCCAATTATTAAAATAAATGCTTTAGTTGTCTGAGCAACTGTATTTTGTATCTGTCAAATCCACAAGCCTAACAATTTTACCTTTCTGAAATATCTACCACGTGTTCAAAGTCAGCACGTTACTCCTAGTTCTGCAAGGCACTGAAAGTACATAGAAAGAAAGAGGGGGGAAGCACATTTAAGAAACAGGTTTTCTGCAGGATCACAAGGGTATAACAATTGCCTATAACGGTGTGGCTACTTTCTCCGCATTCAGTCCCCGTGACGAAATAACTACTGCATTTGTGGAAGTCTCTAGGCTGGGTGCTGGACCCTAATTAATGCATTTGAAATCCAGGCCTACACTGTCCCTGGGCTCAGCGACTAACCTTAGTAGAAGCACACATTTCTCAATATGCACATAAGGCAAATAGGTGCTCACGGCAGCCAAACAGAATGCTTTGAAAAGCATTTTCCCAATGAGCCCCCCGCCAGCCCAAACCCCCGCAAACTCCGGAATTAGGAGACATAACAGGTACTTCCACCTCAGAAGCCAAAGCCCTCTGCGACTCCTGCCAAGAAGGGCAGGTTGCCATGCGTGGGTCGGCTGGGCGCGTCCTGGGGCTGGTCTGCCTGACCCGGACAAAACCAGGCGGCGAGCACGCGGCGCTGCATGCGGGAAACCGGAGCTGCGCCTCCTGCCGCCCCTCAGTCGCTAGGCAGGAACCCCAGGAGAGGCTACGGTCCCCTGACCTCCACAGAGGCTCGCCAGGGCCGGCGCGCAGGGGCAGGTGGGCGCGGGGGCTGCCCTGCGGCGCCGCAGCCTGGGCCTCCCCTGGCACCCGTGGTCGGCCATCCGCCGCGTCCGCAGCGGCGCGCCGAGCCTCTCCAGTTCGCGGGCCCTCCCCGGCTCGCTCCCGGCTTTCGCAGACCTCCCCCGCTCCTGCCCTGAGTCCGAGCAGAGCGCAACGCCAGCCGGCGCCTTCCTCCTGGGCTGGGAGCGAGTGGTGCAGCAGCGGCTCGAAGTCCCCCGGCCTCAAGCAGCCCCCGCGACTAGCGCGACACCCTCGCGGGATCCGAGTCCACCCTGCCACCAGCGCCGGGACGCCGCGTGCCTCAGAGCCCAAGGGCTGACCCGGGCCTTCCAGGTGGTCCATCTCGCTCCTACGGCTCCCGACAGTGGCGCTGGGTGTCCCCCATCCCGCAATTCCTACCGGCTGACCCATGTGCGCTGCGCCCAGGTACCCCGCCGGGCAGGGCTGAGCAGCCCGGACCCCGCGCTCTCCTGCGCCCAGATTCAGCGCTGCAGTCGCCAGGGAAAGTTTGCGCTCCGGACTGGCCGCGGCGCCCCGCCTGCTCTGCACCTCTCCTGGCCCACCACGCAGCCCGCGATTCGGGATCCCAGAGGAGAGGGGTGCGGGCTGAGCCGGGGCCACGAGTCCTCTCCCGCGCTCCCGCCCTTTTACCTCACTGTCCCGCCGGGCGCACCCAGAGCTCACCTTGCGTGCCGGCCGGTGGAGGCGAGCCATAGGTGACGGTGCATCCTCCTTCTCCGCCTGCTCTCGCCCGGCTGGCAGGGGCTGGAGGCTGCCAGCGCCAACCTTCCCGGCGCTCCGGGGCGGAGCAGCTCCTGCGCCCTGCGCTACCGCAGCGGCCCTTCAGTCAGCTCCGCGCCGTCCCCAGCAGAGCCCCCGGCGCACCAGCGCCTGCTTTTCCTTCCCCGAGCGCCTCAAGCAGTCTCTGGGCCGCAGGAACAGCCCTCTGAAGAGGCGCTTGGGTAGAGGCCACCAGACACTCAGCAAACGCGCCCTCGGCCCCGCTCGGCTGAGCGGGAGGGCGCAGGGCCCGCGGCTGGACCTGCAAGGGGAGTTCCGGTTCTGCTGAAGTTTCTTTAGGGCCTTCAGCAGCGTCTTCGGCGCCTCCTGTAGTCGCCGCTGTCCTCTTGTAGTGCAGGGATGGGAGGGCAGGGTCAGGAGCCCGGCAACAGAGGCCAGTTTCAAGAGCTTTGCTCCCCTAGGGCCGGCCCCCCCTCCCTGCCCAGGCCTGGGTCCCTCCCGGGTGCTCTGAGGCACCCCCGGACATGCGCATGTCTTAGTCGCTCCTGAAAGAAATTGGCTTGTTGTGGGCACTCTTTTCATCTCATTCATAGACAGGAGTGCATTGCTGCCGGACGGAAAGCCAGGGTCACATGGGACTCCATTAGAATGAAACCCTTACCTAATGCAGTATATATTTGGGGGTTTTCTGAAGTTCCATTTCTTAGCAAGAAGCCTCGGTGACAACGGGAAAGGGCCAGGGGCCAGGGGCCGCAGGTCCGAGAGCAGGTCTGGGGTGGCGCATCTGGGGTGGCGGGGCGGGATTTCCCTAGCAGGGCTTCCACGCCACGTTGGGCACTGCCTCATTAGCCACGCACATGGGGTCTTACTATGGTCATTACATAGGTGTCTTGTCCGTCCGAGTGATGCAGTTCCTGGGAGGTGAGGGTGGCGTTAATGACAGCTGGGTGGCAGCAGGGCCCCTTCAAACAACACAAGCAAGATGGGGCCAAAGCAGCACAGCCCATCGTCTCGGGGTTTCGGGGTCTTGCTTCCTCAGGAGGTGGGGGCCTCTCGACTGTAACACCCAGTGGAAAACGTTCAAGACTTACAGGAAAGCCACCAGAACATGATGGGGAGGTTTATTTACACCACTGTCCCCTTCCTTTTGTGAAACTGCATTGTTTATATTCTCTTTTAACAGAGTCATGGTAAGAAAAGGCAAATTCTTAACTCTCCTCCAGGAAAGATCTTTGACCTTCCAGTGTAGGAAGCCTCTCAGTTTTCCAGTTACACCTAATACAGTGTATTCCAAATCTAAGTTACCCACTAGTACTTCGGCACATTTCAGAAATTCTGAAATTTTCTGAAAAGGAAACTGGTAAGTCTATTCCAGGAGCGGGACATAAGTGTATAAATGTGCAAATATACAGGAAGCATTACTCTGAATACGCGTTTAGCCACATTATTAAATAACTGTTTCCAGTGGTTCTTCACAATATATGAATAAGATGCTCATTTGAAAGACTTTTTAAATTCTAAAATGGATCATTGAACACGTGCATTTCTTCATTTTCTAATCTCTCAAAAGATGTATCACTAAGGTGAAATTCCTTGGTAGTCATTAAATTTTAAAAAGTTAACAACATGGTTTTATGATCAGCCTACTATAATTTTCACCTATTAGGTGGTGGAATTCTAGGCTTAGAATTACCAGCGACAGCTGCTCGCCTCTCAGGATTAAACAGCATAATGCAAATCAAAGAGTTTGAAGAATTGGTAAAACTTCACAGCTTGTCACACAAAGTCATTCAGTGTGTGTTTGCAAAGAAAAAAAATGTAGACAAATGGGATGACTTTTGTCTTAGTGAGGGTTATGGACATTCATTCTTAATAATGAAAGAAACGTCGACTGTGAGTATGTTCTTTTGGTGGATTATGTTTAAAACTTCCATGTTTTTTGGTACACTTTCTATCAGTTTTATGTCAACACAACACATATCGTCTTGGTAAGAATTTCATTTTCAGTGTCAGAGCCTAAAATAGCTGGAGGTGGAGAAGCATGAGTGGAACATGTGCCAGAGAGCGCCCACCCTGTCCCCCAGTCAGGGGCAGGAACTGAGATGGGTGGGTGTGTTTGCATGGGTGGGTGTGGCAGAGGTGGCTGAAACGTGAATGCAGTGTCATCCTATAAGTGAGACAATGTGTTATTCGTCTTTCTGTGCTTGGCTTATTTCACCAAGCATGTTCTCCAAGTCCATCCATGCTGTCAAAAATGGCAGGATTTTTTTATTCATTAATGCTAAATAATATCCCACTGTGTGTGTGTGTGTGTGTGTGTGTGTGTGTGTGTGTGTGTGTGTGTGTATTTTTTTTCATTTCTTTATCCATTTATCCATTGACAGACATTTAGGTTGTTTCTATTACTTGGCTATTGTTAAAAATGCCCAAATGGACATAACAGTGCAGGTATCTTTTCCAGATATTGATTTTATTTCCTTTGGCTATATCCCCAAAGAAATGGGATTGCTGGGTATAGAGTGGTTGCCAGGGGCTGGGGGAAGGAGAGATGGGCAGATGTTGGTCAAAGGGTATAAAATTTCAGTTATGCAAGATGAATAAGTTCTGGAGATCTACTGTTCAACATTGTGAATATAGCTAACAACACTGCGATGTATACTTGACATTTGCTGAGGAGGTAGATCTTATTGTTCTCACCACACACATGAAAGAGGGCAGCTCTGCGAGGTGATGGGAATGTGAATGAGTTTGATTTTGATGGCAAAGTATACATATATTAGTCATCAAACTGAACACCTTAGAAACCAGATTTTACATCAATGAATGGTTGAATGAATAGATCTGCACTTCTGGATTTCTTTAAAAATGGGAAGACACTCCATAGCTTTAGCAACGCTGGGCACCCACCCATTCCCACCCTCCTGCACCGCCTGCATTCCACAGATACCTGACATGGGTCCTTAGAGGAACGTGATCTATCCTTTTTCACACTTTGCCTCCTTTGTGTAATTAGGAAAATCGAGGCAAATGGGGCTTTTTAAAGGATTTTAATTTTTTTCTAATTTCATTGTATCTATTTTGTCTTCACTAGTGGCTTATTTACTGTATCTGTATTTTACCTTATTTTATTTTGTGATGGCTCTAGGGTTACAGCCAGCATCTTTAACTTAGTATAGCCTACCTTTATTTTGTTTATTTATTTATTTATTTATTTTTGAGAAAGAGTCTTGCTCTGTCACCCAGGCTGGAGTGCAGTGGTGCGATCTCGGCTCACTGCAAGCTCCGCCTGCTGAGTTCAAGCCATTCTCCCCCTCAGCCTCCCCAGTAGCTGGGACTACAGGCACTCACCACCATGCCCAGCTAATTTATTTTATTTTATTTTATTTTATTTTATTTTTATTTTTATTTTTATTTTTATTTTTAGTAGAGTTGGGTTTCACCGTGTTAGCCAGGACGGTCTCGATCTCCTGACCTCATGATCCACCCGCCTCAGCCTCCCAAATTGCTGGGATTACAGGCACTAGCCACTGCACCTGGCTGAGGACATGTCTTTGAAAAGGTAGCATAACTCCTATTTCTAGCTGCTCTTGCAACTAAAAGTGGCTGTGTACAGAATAACTCTATTCCTCTATATCCAGTTTGGACAAACCAACTTTCCATTGATTTAAGCACACTTTCAGAATAAAGCGTAATTTCTTATCTCAGGAATTCCAAAGTCTAATGGAAGAAGCAAGCTTATACTGAATAATTTAGCAAAGCAGATTGTGCTTGGCAATAATAAAGTAATTCAATATCTGAAACATAAGAAAAGAAGGAAATATCTGTTTCATAGTTGTAATTAATTAGAACTTTACCATGCAGAATAGGTAGAGAGGCATTCCTCAAAAGATTAAGAGAGGTATAAAGTAAATGTAAATGTCAACCATAGGGGTTTTCTTAGGCAGAGAATCATGCTTTAGGGTAAATGAAGGTGATGCTGGTATTCAGGTTCCTTTGGAGAAGGCAACAATAAAAGTAGAGTTATCATTTATGAGATCCAAGAAGCCCAAGAAAAGATAATAAGAGCCCAAGCCACAGCAGGCTCAGCCTTTTTTTCCTAAATAAAAAGGAACGAATAGCTAAATGTGACAAAAGTCAAGGTATCTTTTAAGAAAGTTACACTTCCTCTGAACCACAACAGAAATCAAAGATAGTCACCCTACAGCACTCCTTGCCTCTCTTCCAAGGATACAGCTATGTATTGTTTTTTAAAAAAGGTAAAGGTAAAGAGACATGGTCACTTGACCATGTCTCTATCCAAGGTGAATTTCTCCAAAAGCACAACTTTGGGACACTTGTATGAGATATAGTTTAAACCCCACTGAATTTGATTTCTCACCCTCCCAGACACTTACCTTTATTATTTTCTCATATTTGTTTGCTTTTGTTTCCTTAATATAGTCTAGGAAATGTATCTGTGGGCTGTCCTACAGGAGAAGTTACAATGAATGGAAAAATGTGAAGAACCTTCTATTCTCCCAAGAGTATATGGCAAAGAGGGTGCAATTGCACCCAAAATATCAGTGTGGAAGGGTCACATAACTGATACTATAAAGTAACACATTGTCTTACAGAATTCTCATTCTTAGGCTAAAATATTATCTTCTTCATCAAACTTACTTGACTGCATGTTTGATGTTGTTTGAGTAAAATATAATACTCTTTTATTTCCCAAATGCACACACACACACACACACACACACACACACACATATTATATTATGTTTTGGGAAATATATGTGCTATAGTATCTATATTTATTCACTTCTTAAATTTGAACTTAATTAAAATGACAAAATGAATTTGCTGAAAGGAGTTGGTAAAATGATCAGCTGTATTCAGTCACATAACTATTGTTTAGTCTTAGTAATGAAAATAGAAAAAAAAAACCAGCCAGGTGCAGTGGCTCACGCCTGTAATCCCAGCACTCTGGGAGGCCAAGGTGGGTGGATCGCCTGAGGTCGGGAGTTCGAGACCAGCCTGGCCAACATGGTGAAACCTCATCTCTACCAACAATACAAAAATTAGCTGGGCGTGGTGGCACGCACCTGTAACCAGCTACTTGAGAAGCTCAGGTAAGAGAATCTCTTGAACCTGGGAGGCGGTGCTTGCAGTAAGCCGAGATTGTGCTACTGCACTCCAGCCTGGGTGACAGAGTGAGACGCCACCTCAGTCAAAAAAAAAAAGAAAAATGAATATAGAAAAAAACGACAGACGCTAAAAGCTAAGAAAATAGTGTGTTCATTTTGGAATCTAATTCAAAATTCATTATAATGAATTTTAACGGGCCACCAAAGGTATGTGTTGAAGTTCACTGAATATTATTCAATGTTTGAGAATTACTGACAGCACATATATTTCATTTGTAGCAATGTTTGATTTGTTTTGTATCCATATATTTGCATTTATTTAAAACAAAAAACATCAAAGTATATTTCATCTGTTATTTGGAAAAAACATTGAGTAACTAATTGTCCAAATATAGCTATTTTCTAATTTTTAATTAAAAATGCTTCCTGTTTAAAAAAGTAACTTATTTCAAAATAACTGACATTTAATGTATTTACATTTTTTAAAGTGTTCACGCACATCTATTTAATTTCTAGATGTCTTGAAGGAATCGTCACTGTATCTGGAAGCCAGATGCCAAAGATGTTCAGTTATTATCAATGCATCTATGCATAAAGGATTGAAAATGATTCTTCATTCCATAATTTATCTAAATGTTCATTCCTTTGGAAAACTGTTTTCCACCAATAGTGACAAGACTTGGAACAAAATAAAATAGCAATATCATATGCATTTTCTATTTCTGCACTTTTCCACTTCTGGAAATAGTCATAGAATCATCTTGTGACAGATTAATATCATCCATGATCCTAAGCCACTAAGAATAAGTGTTAGATTCTTTGGGTTAAATTGCCATAAGGACTAAATTTATTTTTTTAACCAATTCCCTAAAGAATCAACTGATATTTCTGACATAGTTTTACAGCATATGTATCACCTCTCCATCCATTTTGCCTTAATTCTATTTCTTTTTATCCTTCACTGGTGAGGATGAGAAAACCTGGATGCATATGGGTATGGTTGATTTGAAAAGTACTTTTTAAACATTTGGAAGTTTTTCAAAACCAAAAACATATTTGCCAAGTGATCTTTTTCCCCTATATTTTAAATCCATGTGCAACTTAAAAGAAACTTAGACCATATGCTAGTTCAGATTCACTTATATTAAAATCATGAAAATTTTATTTAATAGCTCTTTGACACACAGGGAGTGTTTAAATTAAGCTTCTCTAAATTTTACATTTCTCAAAATACACTCTCTTTCCTATCTACCCTCAACTACTCCTCACTACTCTCCAAGAAAATATCAGGTTTAATTCAGGAGATGTAAGTTGGATGTTGTCAGTCCATCAACAATGATTAAGTAATTTAAAAAGCATTCTTTTCTTCACTTCTTCCCTAGATTTTTTGTTTCTTTGTTCGTTTAAATATCTCTGTGCAAGTTCTGAACAGTTTTATTTATATCAGGATCAATAATCTGAGGAATGAAATAAATTGTTGCATTTGTTGCAATAAATGAGTTTATGCTTCCTTTACAGAACATTAAGGACATGAATTTTAAGAACATTTTAATGTTTCACTATAAATGATACTTGAGCCTTGCATTAGAATACATAAGGTAAACTTATATAAAGAAAAAATAAAAATCTTCTCCTTCTCATCTGCATTTGCAATCCCACATGCACTGAAGTAATCAATGTTAATGGTTTTCTGTCCATTCGGCCACACCTCTAATGGATGGAATTTATGTAGTGTAATTCTTTGTCAGGTACAACTACACATGAGTAAAACTAGGTGTGATTTAGAACTCAAGATTAGGATTTTTATCTAGTAGTGAAATGGGAAGGGAAAAGCAAAAGTAAAATATACATCAACTAATGGCAGAATGGTGTATAGAAGGGAGTCATCTGTATATATGACATCTGATGGCCCCGCCACTCAGCTAACCCATCCACACATGAAATAATAAGTAGACAAGTGCATTGAAAATTGTAAGTGTGACAGAAAGGTCACCACTTGATTGCTACTATTATATCGTTTTATTATTTTGTTCTCCCAACAATGTATAGCTCAAATTTATACTACAGGCTGTTCATATCCCTTAACAAAATATCCATTAATTTATGAATTTGATAAAATTCTAACTTACTGCAGTGCCCTACAAATAATAGTTTGGCCCATCTGTGGTGATGACTGTTCTGGAAGATCTTTCTGATGTTGAATAACTAATATTGTGTTTCAATGTTACTATTAGGTTGGTGCAAAAATAATTGCGATTTTTGCCATTAATCACAACTACATTTGCGCAAACCTAATAGTAATTTAACATTCTGTATCTAACATTTGTGGACACTGATCGAATATGCAATATTCTGGGGAGAAGTTGGTGGAAGAGATGTGTGTTGTTTTGTGAAAGATAGTATTCTGAGGGAAGGCAGAAAAGGGATATACATATAAGAAAATAGTGGATCTTGATCAGATGCACACTTGTTCCTATTTACAAGAAGTCTACTCTGTGTTACTGAACAAATCAACTTACATGAAGTCAACTAATTCCAAAGAATTTACCGTCTAGAGAAATTCACATTTGTAATAATAAATACTTTTCTTAATGACAGAAATTTTATAATATGTCTTTTTTACTTTATAGCTATAACCGTAGAGTTATAAAATCTAAATACAGACAAGCCTACCCAGTGTTTGATTATATTCAATGATGTTTAAAAGTAATGGCCTCTCTTTTGTTCTTACTGGGAAAATTATCATTAGCACAGTGCTTCATGCAGGCTCTTATTACTTCTATCTTCCATTGTTATGATTGGCAAAGCACAAAGCCATACTCAAATTGGAATGCTTGGGCACATTGCAGTATTTATCACAGGGTGGACTGGATACTGAGTTTCTTAATTTATAAATATTTCTTTCCAATGCAAAATTCATGAAGGCTTAATGTTGGGAAATGTCTGAATGGCTATAAATTCCCTTCCTAATTCCCTCCCCTCAATGCATACCCATTTTTTTTTGGCTCATTCTTAGAACTGTAGCTGTTCTTGAATCTTTGATGAGTTGAAGCTAATCCACATTCGGATTTTACAATCTCATATAATTGCCAAAATTCTACCCTTCAAAACACTTGTTTCTTTCTTTTTTTTCTCTTACATTTCCTCAAAGAAAATTAGTGAAAAAACAATTTTTTATTTGGTCTGAAACTTTATGGTGGAAATCTGAGGACAGGAAGAAATTTAGGGACTTGTTCATGCACTTTTGATTTGGCGAATGCCTGGAATATATTTTTTTCTCTCTGCACAATGCAAAGTAGTTGCACTCACAAAGTATCAATTAGAAAAAGAAATTCTTTCCACATTTCATCAGAGTTTTAAGTGGTTACACCACAATAATCCCCAGCTATTTGGGAAATGGTAAAAAAAAAAAAAAAAAAACAACTTTGAAGATCAAGCCATCATTATTATTTTCACTAAAACCTAAAAATTCAGCCACAATATGTCAAACCAGTTGGGACAGGACTTCCTTCCACTAATTTAGTTTTTACTGCTGGATACCTGATGGGCTACTTACTATATCAGGTGTCTCATAGGGCAAATTGTACCTGGAGATAAAAAAAAGAAGAAAAAAACAGGCTCCAACCCCTAGCAGCAGAATACAGCAGAACATTTAGGTACCCACAGAACATAAACCAAAATGGACTGTATCCTGGATTTTAACAAACATTAAGAATTTTTTAAAAACTGAAATCCTGTAGAATGTATCCTCCAGCCAAAATGGCATCAAATTAAAAATAAAAAAGTAAAATAACAGCAGAATCTTAAATACTTGAAAAATAAACAGCATACTTTTTTAGTTCTTTTTTTTACATTTTTATTTATTTTAAGTTCTGGGGTAGGTGTGAAGGATGTGCAGGTTTGTTACATAGGTAAATTTGTGCCATGGTGGTTTTCCCTACCTATCAACCCATCACCTCGGTTTAAGCCCAGCATGCATTAGAGATTTTTCCCAATGCTCTCCCTCTCCCTCCCCCATCCACAGGCCCCAGTGTGTGTTGCTTAATTCCCTGTGTCCATGTGTTCTCATTGTTCAGCTCCTACTTATAAGTGAGAACATTAGATGTTTGGCTTTCTGTTTCTGCATTAGTTTCCTGAGGATAATGGCTTCCTGTTCCATCCATGTCCCTGCAATGAACATGATCTCCTTCATTTTTATGGCTGCATAGTATTCCATGTTGTATGGGTACTGCATTTTCTTCATCCAGTCTATTACCAATGGGCATTTAGGTTGATTCCATGTCTTTGCTATTGTGAATAGTGCTAAACAGCAAGCACACTTCTAAGGAGAACGTCTCAAGGGAAACAATTAAATATATTAAACTGAATAAAAATAAAAATACAACATATCAAACTTGATTTAACACAGTTGACGTCAGTGCTGAGAGGAAAATGTATTTCACTAAATATATATAATAGAAAAGTAGAAATCTCTCAAATAAAAATTCAAGCTATCACATCAAGAAAGTAGAAAATAGTAGCAAAATAAAATCAAAACAAATATAAGAAAGAATATAATAAGGATAAGAGCAGAAATAAATGAAACAGCCAAAAGAAAACAACAAAGAAAAGCAAAGAAATAAAGCTGGTTCTTTGAAAATATCTATAAAATTGACAAACCTTAACTAATAATGATAAAGAAAAAAGGGATGTCATAAATTACCAATTTCATGAATGAAATGGGCTAACATTAGCAGTAGAACTCAGCAATGTACACAAAGAATTACACAGCATGTCCCAGTGACGTTTACTCCAGTGACTGCACACCTAGACATTCATCCCACTGAAATAAAAACTTTTTTTTTGCACTTGCAATTGGCTTCCCCTCTGCTTTTGTTGGCAGGAGCAGGTCGGTGTCCCAGGCTTAGAATCCATTTTTCTCTCTCTCCGTCTGTCTCTCTGTCTCCGTCTCTGTCTTTGTCTCTGTCTCTCTCTCTCTCTCTTTCTTTTTTTTTTTTTTTTTTTTTTTTTTTTTGAGACGGAGTCTCGCTCTGTCGCCCAGGCTGGAGTGCAGTGGTGCGATCTCGGGCTCACTGCAAGCTCCGCCTCCCAGGTTCACGCCATTCTCCTGCCTCCCGAGTAGCTGGGACTACAGGCGCCCACGACCATGCCCGCTAGTATTTTGTATTTTTAGTAGAGATGAGGTTTCACCGTGTTAGCCAGGATGGTCTTTATCTCCTGACCTTATGATCCACCCGCCTCAGCCTCCCAAAGTGCTGGGATTACACGCGTGAGCCACAGTGCCCGGCCAGAATGCATTTTTCCTCCCACACCAAAGCACCTGCAGTATGGGTGAAGCAGCCTGGAGCCTGGCTGCATAAGCCTGCACAGCAGGAGGGTCCCAGCAGGAGGGTAGAGGTGCCACTGCCTGGGTCCAGCTCACAGGCTGCCAGGGAGGCTCCGATCTGGCTCCCTGGTGCTGGCAGTGTCCTGTTCCCAGGATCTGCACGTGGGGGTGCCTTCCTGCATCTCCCCATCAGTGGTAGGTGCTCCTCCCAGCCCCCTCTTGCAGGCCTGGAGACAGCGGCCTGCACCTCAACCCTACTGCATGCCAGTGAAGCGAAGCACCCCGGGCCAGAAGCCCCACAGCTGTTGGCCCTGGTTTGGACACCAGGCAGGGGGCACCACAGCAGGAGCTAGCAGCCCAGCCCCGATTCTGTGGCCCCGAGTGCCCCGTTGCTGATGGCCCTGTGTTCTGGGTGCGGACCAAGGAGGAGCAGGTGTGGAAGGCGCCTCAGGCAGGCCCTGGGCTCCGTGGGCGTCTTGTGCTCGGAGATTTTGAGGCCATTTGCATCCAGCTCCGCCAACCAGAGCTCTAAGCTGCAGCGGCGGCCACCCGCAACAGCGCCACCACTAGTGTCTTGGGGGCTTTCTTCAGAGGAGGCTGTCAGCATCCTCGAGTTCCAGGCGCTCTAGCCCCAGTCCTGCTTCAAGAGGCTTTTTCCCACCACAGGCTTCTCTCCTCAGTGGCCAGAAAGCTGGGCCAACTCCCATGAACTTTGCCAGTAACGCAAGGCTGTCACTGACATTTGTGGCGCCAAGACTTGCGCACGCGGATTGCACACATCGGCCACTTCCTGGACCACGTGCAATGACACGCGCACGCCTCACGCACACGCCGCATAACGTCTGAGGCGCGCGCCCCGCACGCGCGCCCCCGCACGCGCATAACGGCTTGGCTTACCTGTAACGGGTACGCTTCGCTTCGCGTTCCTCGCTTGGCCTTGCGTTCCTAGCTTGGCTTGGCTGTTAGTAGCTTTGCCTGGTGTTTCTTGCTTGGATTGGCGTTTCCTCCCTCGCATTCCTTTGCTGGACTTGACCTTTTCTCTGCTGGGTTTGGCATTCCCTTGACTGGGCTGGGTGTTTCCTTGGGAGGGGGGGCTTGGCCTTTCCTGGGGTGGGCGTGGGGTCCCCCTGGTGGGCGTGGGCTTTCCCCGGGTGGGTGTGGGTTTTCCCTGGGTGGGGTGGGCTGGGCTCCCTTGCTGGGGTTGGCAAGTTTTGGCTGGGATTGACCTTTCTCTTCAAACAGATTGGAAACCCAGGGTTTCCTGCTAGTTGGTGAAACTGGTTGGTAGACGCGATCTGTTCGCTACTACCGGCCTCCCCTGGCTGTTAAAAGCAGATGGTGGCTGAGGTTTGTTCAATGCCCGCTGCCTCTGCTGTGAAGAAGCCATTTGATCTCAGGAGCAAGATGGGCAAGTGGTGCCACCACCGCTTCCCCTGCTGCAGGGGGAGCGGCACGAGCAATGTGGGCACTTCTGGAGACCATGACGACTCCTTTATGAAGACACTCAGGAGCAAGATGGGCAAGTGGTGCTGTCACTGCTTCCCCTGCTGCAGGGGGAGCGGCAAGAGCAACGTGGGCACTTGGGGAGACTACGACGACAGCGCCTTCATGGAGCCGAGGTACCACGTCCGTCGAGAAGATCTGGACAAGCTCCACAGAGCTGCCTGGTGGGGTAAAGTCCCCAGAAAGGATCTCATCGTCATGCTCAGGGACACTGACATGAACAAGAGGGACAAGCAAAAGAGGTAACCGGGCCTGGGATGGGAGGAGGCGGGACATGGGGTGATGATGGGGACATACCCTCCTGGCGCAGGGAGGGAGGAGCCAGGCTTTCTCTTCCTCCGCAGGCCCCACACCACCCTGGGTGTGGAAACCTCAGAGATGTCAGGGCCCAGGTCCCTTTATAAACAGCAACACAAAAACAAAACTTTAGCTGATTTCCAATCCAATTATAATTTCCCTTATAGAACACTAATAGACGGTTTTAAAGTGATTTAACTCGCAAAATTAAGTCGATGCAGCAGATTATTTTTAATGTACACATTTTAAAACAATGTTCTATACACTATAGAAAGGTGTATATTGAGAACTAAGTCCCATAATATATCAACTTCTGGGCTAAATATTTTTCAAATAAAATCCAATATGGATTTTATATCGATGTGTACCCTATGTAAACACGTTCTTTACTGAGTAACCTTAAAAGGAAACTGAAATGGGAAGTATGGTTCATATCTTTGAATAGGAAGGTTCGTTTTTCTTAAGATGTGAGCTTTTTCTGTGTTTATCACTTTTACATAAGCCAAATAAAAATAGCAAAGTCTTAGTGTCTTTAAATTGCACATGATGTATTTTATCATTGTGATAAATTGATTTTTTGTAACAGAATGGAAAAAGACTTGCTTTTCCAGATATCAAAATGTGCGTGTGTTATTTCCACAAATTGTTTACTAACAGCTGAAAAGACATAAGTGAACAGAACAGAATAGGAAATCCAGAAATACCCACATATATGTAAGAATTTAGCACTTGATAATGGTGATGTTTCATATTGGTAAAACAAGGTGAATTATTCATAAATTAAATGCATGCTGTTTGGAGAAAACTACCTAGATTTTTATGTCACAAAAATAAGTTCCTGGAGTATAGATTAAAAATTTTAAAGATACAAAAGGAGAAAAGTACCAGAAGAAAACACAAATGCCTATTTATATGTGCAAATATTTATTTATTTTTCTGAGACAGACTCTCACTCCATAGCCCAGGCTGGAGTGCAGTGGTGCAATATCAGCTCACTACAACCTCTGGTTCCTGGTTCAAGTAATTCTTTGCCTCAGCCTACCAAGTAGCTGGGATTACAGGCACCCACCACCATGCCTGGCTAATTTTTTGTGTTCTTAATCAAGACGGGATTTCACCATCTTTGCCAGGCTGGTCTTGAACTCCTGTCCTTGTGATCCACCCACCTCAGCCTCCCAAAGTGCTGAGATTACAGTCATGAGCCACTGAAACCGGCATATATATGCAGATATAATAAAATAAGCTCAATTTAAAATTGGGCAAGGTACTTTTTTGCATGTCTACCAGTGACCTGTGTACATAGGAAAACATAGCATTCCTGCTAAGAGAAGGAATTTAAGTTAGAAGAGGAATGAAAGACTATTTTCTGTTTAAGTTAGAAGAGGAATGAAAGGCCAGCCATGGTGGCTCATGCCTGTAATCCCAGCACTTTGGGAGGCCAAGGCAGGTGGATCACGAGGTCAGGAGTTTGATACTAGCCTGGCCAGCATGGTGAAACCCGTTTCTACTAAAAATACAAAGAATTAGCTGGGCATGGTGGCATGCACCTGTAATCCTAGCTACTCAGGAGGCTGAGGCAGGAGAATTGCTTGAACCAGGGAGACGGAGGTTGCAGTGAGCTGAGATTGCACCACTACACTCCAGCCTGGGTGATGGAGTGAGACTCCATCTCAAAAAAATAAATAAATAAAAATAAATAAATAAATATAAAGGAATGAAATACTGTTTTGTGTCCACAAAGTTTGTGAGGGTGAAGAACAGTGGTACTTATATACCTGCTGAAAGTTTAAGTTGCTGCGACTTTTCAAATAGACACTTTGATGGTAAGAACCACATTTTTAAAATGTGTATGCCTTTTACCCATCTGTTCCATTATACCGAAATATCTATATGAAACAGACACAGCTGTTTTTCTTAGTATTGCTTAAAATAGCCATGTATTGAGAAGAACTCATATAAAGATTTTATGAACAAATTTCAGTGCATCCATAGGATGGAATAATATGTAACCATTGAGGGTGTCAGTAGATACAGAGATATGTCGGCATGCAGAGATGTACTTTGCTGTATCAAGTGAGAAAAAATCAGTTTGTTATACATATACACAAATAGAATCTGCTCTTGTGTTAGCTGGAAATATGTGGAAAATATAATCAAACTTATTTCTGGGGATTTGTAAGTGAAGTTTTTCCCTTTCTCTTATCTGTGATTTCTGCAATGAACATCTGCAAAGTTTTAGTTAAGTTTCATTAGTAATGAAATAATCCTTGGGAAGAGAAGGAATATGCTACTTGCATAGATACAAATAATTTCTTACATTCTATTATTTATTTTTATACCTGTGGATGGCTATCTTCTGTGAACTTTTACCCTCTTCAGAAGTAGAGGGCTTCTGTTTACCTCTTCTGGTAGATTTTATTGTGTATACATCTTATTATATATAGATTGATGTGTAAATAGTATGGATTAATTATTTTAGTTTAGTTATATATTTATGAAAACTAAAATAGCAAATATAAATGATCGTTACTATCGCAAATGTATTGCTCTACTCAACAGGAGTTTTCTTTTAAAAATATTGAACTTCCAACCTATGTTTATCCATTCTTTCAATCCGTTTAGTCATCAAACATAAGCCAGACACCTATTATATGGCAGGCATATTCTGCTATCTCTCAGGATCCTTCCACCTTTGAAAACTTCATGTTTACCTGCTGCGCCTGAGCAAGCTGAGAGAATCAAAATTGGGGCATTAGGACTTAATCTCAATTGAAGCTTTTCCTCCCTCCTTTCAAACAAAAGCACTTCTGAAGGTGGAAAATAGTAAAAGATAACCCTTAACTGCCCTTTTGAAAATGTATAAGACTTGGGTAAACACTGTTTTAGCTGTTTTAAGAACTTAAATGTGGTACATAAACAGCATGGAATACTATGTAGCCACAAAAGAAAGAACAAGAGCCTGTCCTTTGCAGGGACATGGATGGTGTTGAAGGCCATTATCCTTAGCAAACTAACATAGGAAGAGAAAACCAAATACTGCATGGTCTCACTTATAGGTGGGAGCTAAATGAGGAGAACACACAGACACCTAGAGGGAAGCAACACACACTGGGGCCTATCAGAGGGTGGAGGGTGGGAGGAAGGAAAGAAGCAGGAAATAGAACTAATGGGTACTAGGCTTAACACCTGAGTAATGAAATAATCTGTACAGCCAACCCTCTTGGAACACGTTTACCTATGTTAACCAACCTGCACATCCTGCACCTGTATCCCCGAATGTAAAAGTTGAAAAAAGCTCCACAAATAGTTTCATAAATCCATTTTAAAAAGAGAAAATTTATAACAGTCTTAAATCCTAATATGAATGATTGGAAATATCTGATGTACATACGTTGTATAAATCTAAGTATTGAAAAAAATGAGCCCATGCTATTCATTTGAATTTCAAGATTTCTTTGGCTTAAAGTTTTTGAAAACCAAAGTAAGAAATAGATTATTTTAGAAAATTGTTTTTGTTTTCACCTCAGCCCTCTTATTCCATAGTTCTTTTAAGAACTAAAATTTATCTAAATGCTAGTCATCTGACTGGAACTGCCCCAGACCTGTTATATTATAACATATTCTACTTAATGTAAGGCACCAGGGATTGTATGATGCCCCATTATTTTATGTCTCACTAAGAAAATTATTTAAATGCTGCCAATTATAATTATAGTAAATCATGAATTAATAAGTGGTATTTCAGTGTAAGAAATGTTAAAACATGGAGACAATGATCATCTTAGACTCAATAAAATACAGTACAACGCTACCTGTAATCTTTAAAATGTACCTGAAAGTGTAGGTATAATTGTATCGTTTCACTTAATTCAAATGTTGTCTTTAGTGGTATTAGTAAAAATTATAATATCTTACAATTTTTGAGCTGTTATTTGTGTTAGGAACTATTCTATATTTTGTGTAGAGTCTTATTTAAGCATTACAGTGGTTTCCTCTGAGAAACTGACTATTTTCATTCCCATTTTATTGATGAGGAAATTGAGACACAAAAAGGCTAAGCAACAGCTAGGAAGCGACAGAGCTTCAAGTAGGATTCCAGCCCAAGTTGAATGTCATCCAAGAGCTATGCTCTTTCTATTCAAATAGGCTGCTCTTTCATTAATACAGTGACTAATGAGAGGTAATAAGTAGTGTGCTTTCTTCAAAGGAAAATTGAGTTTGTTTTGAAGGCAGAGTAATAGGCTATTCAGTGTTTGCAACTACATGAATCATTAATGTGGCATTAGCTAGTGCACTACAATTTCCTGAAGTCTTCTCACTCTCATAGGACTGCTCTACATTTGGCCTCTGCCAATGGAAATTCAGAAGTAGTACAACTCCTGCTGGACAGACGATGTCAACTTAACGTCCTTGACAACAAAAAAAGGACAGCTCTGATAAAGGTATGCAGTAGTCAACTATATCAGCGTGAGATGGGTTTGATTTCAATAGATAGCATAAAAATGAGTTTTCTCATTTAAATATAACTAGTTGGTGAAAGCTGTGGAATGTTATTTTGAATTCCTAGGACTTATAATTTGTTTTTGGTCTAATACTGACAGGCCGTACAATGCCAGGAAGATGAATGTGTGTTAATGTTGCTGGAACATGGCGCTGATGGAAATATTCAAGATGAGTATGGAAATACCGCTCTACACTATGCTATCTACAATGAAGATAAATTAATGGCCAAAGCACTGCTCTTATATGGTGCTGATATTGAATCAAAAAACAAGGTATAGATCTACCAATTTTATCTTCAAAATACTGAAATGCATTCGTGTTAACATTGACCTGTGTAAGGGCCAGTTTTCCGTATTTGGAAGCTCAAGCATAACCTGAATGAAAATATTTTGAAATGACTTAATTATCTAAGACTTTATTTTAAATATTGTTACTTTTAAAGAAGCATTAGAGGGTACAGTTTTTTTCAGTGCACTTGTGGTTAATGCTTTTTAAAAAAAAAAACACTGAATTTGTAAAAGGTAATACTTTTTTTTTTTTCAATTTTTCCCTGCCAAGTTTTTTTTTCCCTAACAAATGTAAAATGACAAAATTTGCCCTGGAAATAGGTTTTACATTAAAACTCCAAGAAAACTTAAACATGTTTCAGTGAATAGTAATCCTGCTACTTTGGCAAATTCCTAAAAAAACACTAATAGATATGAGGTGATGTATCTCTCAGTGGCAAGGCTTAAGATATTTCTGATTGCTCATGAGGCAGAATTGGAAAGGGAAAAATGCAGCAATCAGAAATACCAAGGCCAACTTGGAAATTAGGTAATGGGGGAAAAGACCATGAAGAGGTTTTTTTTTGTTTTTGTTTTTGTTTTTGTTTGTGTGTGTGTGTGTGTGTGTGTGTGTGTGTGTGTGTGTGTTGTTATTGTTGTTCATTCATTTGTTTCCTTTATATGGTGAGACAGGGTTCTTTTCCATTTTAGAGAATGACAGTTTTCAGTTTGGGAGAGGGAGTTAGTGGGTTGTAAACTGCCTAGAGATCAATTTTAGGAGGCCTCTGAGGAACCAGACTGGCAGTGAATATGTGGTAATGTAGTGGGAAACCCTTGAGTAGAAGGAATAACAAGTAATTAACCAACTTAGTATCCTATTCTGGTAGAAATGGCCAATTAGAGTCTCAACTCTGCTTTCAATTCTAGAATGTCTTGATGGGAAGGTGGGAGATAAGGGGCTTATAAGTAAAAAGATCAGGTTGGATTTTGAGTTTACTAGACCTTGTTCTACTCTTACCGGGGAAAATTTTGTGGTGTTTTCAGCAAATGAGTCTCTCTCCTACTCTTTCCTCTTTTTGGCCAAATCCTCAAACGATAAAGGGAATTGTTTATGTGATGAGAGATGAGACTGAAATAATTGTCTATTGCACTAGCTTCCAGCTAGAGTTGTGCATTCCAGTTACTTCAGGAAAATTTTTAAATAATCTTCAAGTCTAGGTTTTCCCCTGAAGATTTTGATAGAGTAAGTCTAATAAAGCCTGGATATGTATGTTTAAAAATGTTTCCTTGAAGCCAGGCATGGTGGTGCATGGCTGTAGTCCCAGCTGCTAGGGAGGCTGAGGTGGGAGGATTGCCTGAGCTTAGGAGTTCTAGTCTAGCCTGGTCAACATAATGAGACCCTGTCTCTAACAACAACAACAACAAATTTCTCAAAATCCGGATACACTCCTGCTTAACCACTGAATACATAAGTGTAATATGTAAATTCTTATATCTCAGAAACTTCAGATATTTCTAGAAGAGTTGGAGTTGGATATGTGCTAATTCCTTTAAATCTTTCCTTTCCAATAACATTAATCTAAATTTTTGTTTGTTTGTTTTTGAGATGGGGTCTCACTCTGTTCCCCAGGCTGGAGTGCAGTGGTGCGGTCACAGATCACCACAGCCTTGACGTCCCTAAGCTCTGGTGGTCCTCCAATCTGTTTTTGTATTTTTTTTTTTTTTAGTAGAGATGAGGTTTTTGCCATGTTTCTCAGGCTGATCTTGAACTCCTGGGCTCAAGTGAATCACCCACCTCAGGCTCCCAAAATGCTAAGATTACAGGTGTGAGCCACCATTCCTGGCCTAGTCTGACTTATCTCTGTCGTTGGGACATTAAAATAAATATTATTGGCACTATCTATCAGCTTACAGAATAATACCTTTTCCTTTCTACCATCAGTTATTCACTGCCATTCAGAAGGTCTTTAGAAATTTGCAGTGAGTAGTCTTCCAATAAGTAGAGGATGGCTCTCTCAGGACTTTGTGTCCCTTTGTTCAATCATTCAAGTGCTTAGGTCAGTAAGTCGTTTTTAAGAGCAGAGTTTTCTCAGAATTGTAGCAAATTCTAAACCTTTTTTGTCAATTGAAGCTATATTGTGGGCTATCCAGTATGTCTCTTAAGTTTGTAGAGCTTTGGCTTAATCAGGATGGCAGGTTTAAACACTCAAAACCATGGAGTTATTAAGAATACATATAGGAAATCTCTTAGTTTCAGTAATCCTATGAACTGATTATCTATCTAGTTAACAATCTGGAAAAATTAAATACAAATAGATTTTAAATGAATAAATGTTGGAAAAAATTCTTGAAATGGGCAGTGTGAGTATTAATAGCAATATTTATTGCATGTTGGAGCTTGAACTTTGGTAAAACATGTGAAACTAAAGAAATATTTTACATTCAAATTCTTGCTTTATACACAACAATTTTGTCTTAGGATTGGATAATAATAGAGATAAAAGATACAGCCCCTGCCCTCAAGAAGCTTTTTGTTTAAATGAAAAAAAAAATCATCCAAAAGTGCCATGCCAAATGCTCATTTAGAAACAAAGAGTCTTGGAAACAGTAAATGTTTAAAGTGAGTTTTTGAGATGATCAGATTTAATGTGGTGAGGCAGAGAAGGGATGTTTCCAAGGGAAGGAGTGGCATGTGGGAAAGTACAGAAGAGTGAGAAGGAAGCGACCAAATTTTATTTACTTTCTGTGAGTGTAAGTCCATAAGCTTCCAGTTCAGTTGAGAGATACATAATTTTTTGAATTACATATTGTTTTTGTTTTATATTGTTTTACAGTGTGGCCTCACACCACTTTTGCTTGGCGTACATGAACAAAAACAGGAAGTGGTGAAATTTTTAATCAAGAAAAAAGCTAATTTAAATGCACTTGATAGATATGGAAGGTATGGTTATTTCTTTTAATCTGTGTGTTGTTCTAGATTGATAGCAGTCACTCAAGTCATAAATAATAAATTAATAAGATCAAATTATACTTATTGGGACATAGTGATCAGTATCAACACAAATCAGTTAAGTAGAAAAGCAATTATTTGGACTGAGCAACATAAAGAACTGTTTTAGTAGGATTCATCTTCTCTTATTATATTGACTGATGTTATTTGTTGTATGATGTTTTTGGTTACATGATCTTATGTTAGCTAAAGGGATTTCATATTAATTTTATGAAGTTTGAACTTTAACTTTCAGTTTACTTTATGACTCAGTATTGAACTTTTTAACCCTTTCTAGTAGGTTTTAACCTCTGTATCTTATATGCTTTTCCACTAAATATGCTGTATTAAACATAAATAGGAGTCGAAAATCCTTTTGTCTTTTCAATGACTCTGCTTTAAGTTGCTTTCTTTGAAGAATATTAATGTTAGCTTATCCCTACATGACAATTAATTGCTATTCCCACATACTGTGGGTTCAACAGCTTTTTTCCTTTTTTATTTCCAGTGTATTTTGATGTTTTTATTTTTAGTTGGTATGGAGAGAGGGAGTGAAGATAGTTTTAAGTGGATACACTTTTCCTTTAATGAAGGCAAGCTGTAGGTGGGTGATAAAGAGAAAAGAGCTACGCTTTGGATTCACACAAGACTGGGTTTAATTCCTAACTTTCTTACTTGCTACGTGTGTGACATTGGGAACGTGATTTACCACCCAATATGTTGTCATATGTGAAAAGTAGGAGAATATATCCTTCAAAGTTGGCTGTGCATAAGCAAGAAAGGTACATGTGGCATTTAATTCAGTGCGTAGCACATGCTTATTGGCATCATTAACTGAAACTCCTGTGACTACTATTCTTACCATTATTATTAATATTACTGCTTTCAGCATGCAGAGAGCTCTTATTTATCTTAGCCCCTAGCTAATTTTCTATTACAGCATATCAGTCTAGGGAAGCTGTGACAAAATCTTCACTTAAATCTTTGTCCACTTCAGATAAGTGGCCCTAGCATTGTTTCTTGCCCATCAAAGGACTTTAAATTAGTAGCTTCTGCTATGCAATACCCCACTGAGATAAGAGGTTTCCTTTTTGTCCCTTCCTTTTAACCTTGGTGGTATTTTACAAAGATGAACTCTTGAGCACCCAAGATGCTTATGTCTTTTAGCGCATGTAAATGTTTGATTCTGCATGGACAGGCAAGATGTCAAATTGGTAAAGTATATCAAATTAGCTTTTAAAATAACTTTATTACAGTTCCTAAAGGAGAAATTATCTCTGTAATTTTAGAACTGCCCTCATACTTGCTGTATGTTGTGGATCAGCAAGTATAGTCAATCTTCTACTTGAGCAAAATGTTGATGTATCTTCTCAAGATCTATCTGGACAGACAGCCAGAGAGTATGCTGTTTCTAGTCATCATCATGTGTAAGTGTTTACATGAAAAGGCTAGTTAATGCTAAATTGAGGTTTAAAATAATTATAACAATTGCATCTTACATATCAGGTGAGATGTCATAGTTTGGTTCAGGTAGTTTTAGAGTGGCAGTGAGTTAGTCCCCTGCATCAGCCAGAAATCAGACAAAAAGCAAGACAAGTTAGAAGTACCAATGGGTGCAGGATTCTTTACCTCAGGACTTTTAAGACCTTTATCCTTAGAGATCCCAATATTGTTCATTTCATCCAAGTATAACACCTATGCATGGCATAAAAAAGAGTATCACATCTTTGATTTTTCTGATTAGTTATTTGGGTCTTGAAATGTCCAGTTTAGCAGAAAGCCTTGTACTGTCTTCTGGGGACTGTCTCCTACATACTCCTTGAATTTTTCAAGAACCAAAGGGGTTCACTAAATCCAAGGAAGACAGTCCCTTTTATCAAGTCAGAAGGAGGAGAGAAAAAAGGACATTCCAATCATTCTGTTGTTTCCATTGTTTCTGTTGCTGCATTGTTGCCACTCAAACTGCTTCTGCTGCCTGGTAATTGTTGACCTTTGACACCAAGGTGCCCTTACTGATTCAGATCCCTCAAGTCTTCATGGGGATTCACACAGTGACTTTGAAGTTACAACATTTTTTAGTTCCCTTACCTATGCTTATATATGCTCAGCCATTGTTCCCAAAGCACCAGCACCCTGCTCTGGCCGCTGGGCATCCTGACTTTATCCGCACACAAAGTGAGCAAATTGACCCTTCCTCCTGTATTCAGAACCTAATGTGGAACCCACATCTTAGCTAAGAATTAGCTGAGACCTTCATGGTAAGAGATCCTTTCAGGCCGTTGTTGGTCTTTTCTCTAGCAGATATGAGGTGGGCTTGTTATAAAGGGTCAGAGGGGTTCAAATAATGTGGCAGAAAGAGATCAGTGTTTGTTTCTTCTTCTTTGCTACCAGATCTACACTGTGAGGCACCTTTATATCCTGTGTAGAACCTTAGGCAGTAGAAAGTCCCATATGAGCCTTCCCCAAGCAGTGGCTCCCAGCTGTGGTTGGCCCCTTGAGTGATCTGATTTACATGATAATGAAAATCGTCCAAGCTACTTCCATCTCTAGCTCAAGATTTTAAAATATTTTCAAATTGTACCTCACAGGAAGCCATTGAAGAGAATTCTCAGAATCTCAAGTGGGTTAAGTAAGTAGTGATGAGTCATGGACAAGAGCCAAGCCTTGCCCATGACTCATCACAAATCATGTGTAAAAGTAGGGCTTTGTGCCTGCTTTGGCGGCACATATCCTAAAATTGGAACAATACAGAGAAAGTTAGCACGGCTTCTGCATAAGGAGGCAGCACAACTCTTTGAAGCATTCCATATTTTGTGCAGTCACTGGAAGATCATTTCACTATTTGCTGACTAGCTCTAAGGAAACAGTGTGAATCAAAGCAAAATGGGTGCCACCAAAATATCGAAATGTGATTTGTGCTGCAAAAATAGTCATGGAAGATGGTCTGTGAGATGATTTAGAGCTGAATAATGTGTTCAGTGCAAAATATATTATAAGTATGTACGTCAAAAATTAGAGAATGTCAATTTGCAGCTTCTTCATGAAAACTGAAAAAAAATAAAAGTAGAGTTTTGGTCTCCCATGTCAGCTGGAATTGAACATCAACATAAAGCATTATCCTAACAAACATCTGCTGGCTCAGAGTTTGAGTCTGTAGAGAAGGATCATTGCTCCAAGCCAGGTCTTAACATCCATTGGTTTTTCTGCCCTTAGCACAACAAATTGGTCAACTCCGTAATAGTGGACAATCACATTATCTACTTTAATGAGAGATTTATGAAAAAATTTAGTTACAAACTATGACACAGTTGAGATGCCCTGAATGATAAGCCATAAGGAGTAGGACAACTAAGAAGCAAAATTAGGACTTAATAACATTTTCTGAAAACTACAGCATTTGCATATTAGAACCTATGAACAAAATACACATGGGGTTTTATTTGGGATTCCAAGATAATTTTAGTCATAAAGTTTAGGAACAGATTATTCCATTGCTTTACTATTTCTCTGAGCATTTAAAAAATGTTACCTTGTTAAATCTTTATAACAACCTAGTGAAATAAGGCAGCAAAGTCCTCACTTTGTAGAAGAAGACATTGAGCCTAAGAGAAGAAAGTTGTCCAAGAACAAATAGCTGTTCATTATGGAGCTAGGACTTATGCAGAGTTGGGACACTTTCTATTATGTCATGCTAATGCCTGCTGATTTACTGGGTCACAGTGCCCTTGATTTATGAGCATTTCACCTAATTTTTTTTCTTCTTTAATTAGAAGCTTAAAGAAAAGTTTGTAGAATGTACTCATAAGTGTATGGGATAATACTGTTAAATTCTGATATTATGATATTGTTTGAAATACTCTAAGAATTTTACATTTGGTAAGTATTTTTTATATCAGTATTAAAATAGTAATTTGGTTTATTACATTTTTATACATAGAATTTGTGAATTACTTTCTGACTATAAAGAAAAACAGATGCTAAAAATCTCTTCTGAAAACAGCAATCCAGGTAAGACTTGTGATAATGAATTACTTTAGGTCAGTTGTCCACAATGTTTTTGGCATCAGGGACCGGTTTTGTGGAAGACAGTCTTTCCATGGGCTGGGGGAAGGTGGGGATGGTTTCAGGATTATTCAGCCATGTTTCATTTATTGTGCTACTTTATATTATTATTACATTGTAATATATAATGAAATAATTATACAACTTACCATAATGTAGAATCCGTGGAAACTCTGAGCTTATTTTTCTGCAACTAGATGGTCTCATCTGGGGGCAAAGTGAGACAGTGACAGATCATCAGGCATTAGTTTCTCATATGAAGCACACAACCTAGATCCCTCAGATGAGCAGTTCACAATAGGGTTCATGCTCCAATGAGTATCTAGTGCTATCACTGATCTGACTGGAGGCAGAGTTCAGGCGGTAATATGAGCCATGGGGTGTGGCTGTAAGTACAGGTGAAGCTTCCCTGGTTTGCCTGCTGCTCACCTCCTCCTGTGTGGTGTGGTTCATAATAGTCCATGGACTGGTACCAGTCTGTGACCTGGGAGTTGTGGACCCCTGCTCTGGGTGGTCCTACCATAGATAAAAAAATAAAAGTAAGGAATTTTTGATCACAAAAGAACGCCAAAGCACAAGTCATGTTACATATCCTTGTCCCAACAAGGTCTCACTCTTACTGACTTCATTCCTCCTCATTTGAAGTTGGAAAGAGATACATTTACTTTGTTGGAACAAGATGTGTTCTCTACCTGCTGGTCAATTGTCTTGATAACAGTAATTTTGTTAGAACAAGATGCTCTGCTACCATTTACCAAAAGATTGTCATAATAAATATACAAATTGCCCAACTCTAGGCTCAGCAGATTATAATAAAAGTAGAAAAATGCTTCACATTAACAAAAATACTAGTATGCCACCTGGTTGTGGACACCTAATACATTGTATAATCCAAACTGGATGAGGACACCTTTAATTTAGCCATCTATTTATCAAAAAGCTTCTGTAAGTTAGGTTTTATAAGTTGCAGAAGACAAAGATGGAATAGATGTAGTTTTGATCTTTAAGGTGCTCATAATAGAGGTGTCTCTATTTCATTTCTGTGCTTTTTCAACAGAATTTACAAAGAAAACATTTCTATGTTTTCACTTGTCCACTTAACAAATAACTATCAAATGTCTTTTAGATACTAATCATTTTTCTAATGCTACAGAACACACACAATTAAAAATACAGACAGGAGCTTGTTATTATCATTGTCATTTTTATTATTTTACTACTTTATTCAGTGCCTACTGTGTGCTAGATGCCAACTGGAAGCTTATAATTATGATTTATTATGTATTAATTATGTGCCAGACATACGTGATGAGGAATGAAAGTTTTGAAAAAAAGTAGGTATGATTCAAAGTAAGCATGCAGAGTGAGAAGAATTTTTCTAGGTAAAGAAGCAGAAGAATAATTTTTGGCAGGAGGAAATTGCAACAAGTTTGTGTGTTTGCCAGAAGAACATCTGATGAGATTGCCTGTTTGGCAGGAAGAGCAACAACTGCAAAAGACAAGATGCCGAGTGAACTTTGCAGGGTTTCTGAGCAGTTCACTTTTGCTAGTACCAAAAGTGTGAGACACCAGAGTTTGGGAATGAGGTGAATACTTAGCTAAGGCAAGTTTATGATAGACTTTTTTAATACTATAGAAATGAGTAGGTCTTACCCTGTGGGCCATGGGAAATTTACCAGGTAGAATGCTTTGGACTGTAAATACTAGATGAGCAGTGGCTAAAACAGTAGGAACCAGAGTTGTTTTGGTTGTTCAGTGATATCCTAGGATCCCATTTGTCCCTCTTTCAGCTGTGCTGTTGGCAGTGTTTTCTTCATGTTTCCTTTCGTGGTTGGCTAATCCGCAGCAGCTCCAAACATCTTGTTCTCACAACACAACATTTCAAGGGCTGCTTTTCTTCACATGTGTCTTTTAAACAGGGAGAAAACTTAGAAGCATGCAAGGGGCTTCCTGTAACATTTCATTGGCTGGGTCACACCACATGCTCATTCCCAAACCAGGCAATGGGATGGCAAATACATGATTAGCTTAGAATAAACATTTCTCTTTCTGAGGCTGAGGAGGGGGATTGGGATAATAAATATCCCAATAGACTTGTGTTTCTTCTGCAAGAAAGAATAAGGAATGGCTATTGATAGGAGCCAACAATGTGTGCTGCAGGGGCTCATTGGAGAAATTTGAGCAGGGGAGTTACAAGATTAAATTTGAATATTAAGGCATATTCTGCTTATGGTGTAAAATGGGTTAGCAAGCTTTTTCTGTAAAGGACCAGGTGGGAAATATTTTAGACTATGTGGTCTCTGTCATATCTACTTAACCAGGCTGTTGTCTGTTGTTGTAGTGTGAAAGCCACCATGATTATATGTAAGCAAACAGGCATGACTGAGCTCCTATAAAACTTTATTTACAAAGCCAAAAGGCAGATTGGATTTGTCCTGTGGCCTATAGTTTGCTGGGATTGATGGAAGATAACCATGTAAAGAAACCAGGAGACAAAGGAAGCTTTTGCAGTAGTCAGCTATAGTTTCCATGTCACACATCCTTGGACTAGTATCAATGTATTCTAAGGTTTTCACCTGCCCATGGTGAAATAAAGTTTGGAATCCCCGTTACTCATTTTAATGTGTTGGCCTTTTTTTGGTGTTATGCTTTTTTCATTTGTTTTGCTTAATTTTTTTCATGTAAGAAATAACATTAATAGTTGGAAGGCTTTTTTGTAATAAAAGCCATTTTGTAAATGTTTATGTTCTCAGTGGAAGTGGTAATATAAAGCAGAGGCAGAAGAGAGGTATAGTCAATATGATTTAGTGATAATTGAATGAGAAAGGTTTGGAGGACAGAGAGAAATGTCAGATAATTTACAGGTTTCCACGTTGTACACTAGTATTTAAGCTGGGAATGAGGAAGGAGTACGAAATTTTCTCCATGACCTGTGTGAGTCACAGCTTCCAGAAAAGAAAGAGAGCAAGGAGCATATTAAGGAAGCACAGCAAAGTCAGTCCTAGAGTGCCCTGCTTGACTTCATGTCATAGTTCTGACTTCTAAAAAATCATTTTCTGCAAAATGTGCTTTGTGTTTTTCCCCTCTTGCAGCCTGCAGCCAAACAGAATCCCTTTAGCAGGGCATTTTTGTGTTCTTCCTTTAAACAAAGCAACATATAAATAACAAAAAAGAAGTAAGAGAAAGAGTATTTTTTGTATAGGCTAGCATTTAACTTAAACTTGAGAGCGAGTACTAGGATTATACTTAGAATTTATGGACTGGGTAGGAAGACTAGATAGAAATCTAAAGATTGCTGACTCAAACACAGTGTGATTTTTTTGCTTTATTCTCACAGCTCTGAATTCACAACTATTAGTTATATTCATATACACTATAACTTTATAAAGCACCTTCCCAAACAAATATTAAGTGATTTATTATAATTTCTATGACTTATTATAGAATTGACTTTCCAAGTGTTCATGAGAATTATTGAGAATTTGCTACATAGTATCATCTCAGCTGTGTCCACATGAGCTAGCTGTCACCTTGTCTTAATGAATAATGGCTCACTAGGAATATTGGTTTTGGCATTAAAATGATCTACATCTTAATACAGATAGGACCAGGGACCACTCTTGAACGTTAATGTCTAAGCATCTTAAAGGTACACATAAGGCTTTCATAATCTGACTTCTGCCCTATTCTACATCTTTAGCCCTTTTCCCTGTGTGCCCTTTCTCTGGCATTACTGAGTGGCTCTTAATGCCCTACTCACTCCTCCTTCTATTGCAGGCAAATACTTTCACTCTTTCAGGCCTCGCTCCTGCTCTTGCTGCTGTGTGGCATGCTGTCACCCTTTCTTGCCCTCTACCACTTTTAATCTAGCTAGCCTCAATATTTAAGTCTCTGCTTGGGCAGGTGTTCTAGAAAAGCCATCCCTGACAGGCTTTATTTTCATTCTTTTTAAACCCTAACACCTAGCATGTATGTAGCAGGACTCAATAAGAAATTTCTGAGTAAAATAAAGACTGTTTTTACAAAGATGATGTGCAAGACTGTCCTCTGCAGTCTTGGAGCAGAGGGGACAGACATGTGGAGGAATAGTGTACAGTTCAGGTGGTAAAGGTGCAGTAGAAAAATCAGTGAGGTCCTAAGGCAACCTCAAGGAAGGAGTTACCTGTTTATCTGGGGAAAGATCTGCAGAATCAAGGAAGACTTCCCATAGCATTGTTTTAAAAGATGAAAACAAGGCTGGGTGTGGTGGCTCACACCTGTAATTGCAGCATTTTGGGAGGCTGGAGCAGGTGGATCACAAGGTCAAAAGATCAAGACCATCCTGGCCAATGGTGAAACCCCATCTCTACTAAAAATACAAAAATTAGCTGGGCATGATGGTGTGTGCCTGTAATCACAGCTTCTCAGGAGACTGAGACAGGAGAATCATTTGAACCAGGGAGTCAGAGGTTGCAGTGAGCTGAGATTGTGCCACTGCACTCCAGCCTGGTGACAGAGCAAGACCCCAGCTAAAACAAAAAAAAAGAAAAATGAAAATAAATTTGTCATAATAGTGGATGGAAACATTTTAGATGTTAAGAAGACATTGTACACTAATAAAGGTGTCAGTAGTAATTTTGGAAATCGTTTGTAAGGTACTATTTTTGCAGAAAACAGGAGGCAGGAGAGACCCAGTGGGTCAAACAAGAGGATTTTGTTTAGGTGCACACCAGCTCAGCGGATTTGCATCAAAAAGCTGAGCCCTGAACAAAGACAGGGCTTGGCTTATATAGGCAAACTTATAGAAGCAGAACAAAGGCAGTTAATCATATAGTGACAGTTTTGCAACCACTGCATAGCTTGTGACCTTGCAGCTGCATTGAAGGAAAACAAGAATTTGCAAAATATATGCATTTGTAAAAATAGCTATGAATAAATGCTGAGGGGGAGGGGAGATGGTAAAGGAATTTGTTTTCTTAACCTTGCTCTGGGATGTCTGGAGCCCATACCTGTGGGCTCTGGCTTCTCAGACAGGGTCACCATGACCTTTCCTGGGCCTGCTTGTTACTATCCTTAGAGTCAGACTAGCTAAGTGCAGGAAAACTTGTTTCTCTTTAAAACTAAATTTCCTTTTCTTTACATTTACTGCTTCACTATTAGGAAGTGAACAACATACTGAGTTACCTTATATGTTTCTACTGTATTTTGAAGTTGTGTTTCTGGTGGTTTTGTTCATTTATGTTGGGTGGATGAATTTGTGAGTGAATCACATCAGGTGTCTCCCCAAGTGGTTTGTTGAAGTTTTGGAGAATTATTTCCTAAGTAACTATTTCATGAAAGACTAAACACTCAGTTTATGAAATAAAATAAAATGTTGTCTTCAATCTATTTTTATAAAGGCAATAGTTTTTAACTGTTCTAAGTGGTTCATTTTAACTGAATATATGGATTTCTCAACAGAACAAGACTTAAAGCTGACATCAGAGGAAGAGTCACAAAGGCTTAAAGTCAGTGAAAATAGCCAGCCAGAGGCATGGAAAATTTTAAGTTTAAATTTTTGATTTAACGTTGTTTTCTTTGCTTGAATAATATTAGATAGTCCAAATGAAATTACCTTTCAGACTAGGTTTTAAGAATCAATAGATTCTTTTTTTAAGAATTTTTTAATAGATTCTTAAAATTTATTTTAATAAATTCAGCAATCTCATTAACAGAAGAATTAATAAATTCTAACTTAACATTTGATATTTAGCTTAAAAACGTAACCACTATAAAATTTAAAATACTCTTATTTTATGGTATTCTTATTTAAAATATTCTTATCTGCCTTTTTGATTAGCTTATAGCTAATCTTTCCTTTTGGAATAGAGGCAAAAACATATTCCAGACCTTTGTTTGTTCTTTTATTTTTACAACACCCTAACATGATAAAGTACCATCAATTATTGGATTATATTATTAAGCAATAGAACTGTGAACAATGTAACACTGAAGGTCCCTGAGCTGGATTCATGGTTAAAGAATAATCACGGCCAGTGATTGAAAATCTGCAGTTTTATATTGTCAGTCACTGATACCAAGGTTAAAGACATATTCTGCCTTGTGGTCTCTCACTGACCTCAGCATTTCTGTTCAGGGAGGGAACCAGGTCATAAAAGCAACCCAA
Source organism: Homo sapiens (assembly GCF_000001405.40). Lineage (NCBI taxonomy): Eukaryota > Metazoa > Chordata > Mammalia > Primates > Hominidae > Homo > Homo sapiens. The sequence goes on along the minus strand of NC_000015.10, from coordinate 21,858,816 downwards.
CTGCCTATTACAAGAATCATATCTTGCAGAATGGGACATTTGGTGTTAGTGCACAAACACAATAACCTTCTACCTTATTTTAGTTGCAGAAAATCAGTACAGATTATTAAAAAATTTTTATCCACTGTAATTAGTACACCTTAGAATATATTAGAACTGGACTTAAGCAGATCATCTAGATACATAACACTATCATATTACAGCATATAATTTCAATTAAAATTTAAGAATTTGCATTTCTTCCTGTTTGGTGTTGATTTCAGCTCCTAATAATTTAAAGCGTGCCTACAATCCAATTAGGAATCTTTTTAAAAAGCACTTCAGTGCACTATAGGGGCTCACTAGTTAGGGTTTCATGAGATATACTCTTTTCAAGTGAGGAAGCCCTTGGAACACTACAAATCATCTGCTAATTCATTTTTGGTAGATTTAACACATAACAAATTAAGTTTAGTCCAAACAAATGGTGACAAAGTTAAGTTTGCTGGTTCATGTTTTTATTCTCCCTTTGTCTAAGGTGAATTATTTTCCCATGTTAGTCAGAAGCCAATGATGTGGCAGTAGCTAAACATAGATTAAAAAGTTAATTCTTAATTTTAATTATTTATTTATTTAATTATTTTAACAGTTAAATTTTATTTTATTTTCTAATTTTTCATGTCCATACTTGATTACTTAAGAATAAAATTATTTTAACATGCATTCCAAAAGAGGAGACATACACGGAAATACAACAAGCAAATTAACCTTCTATTTTTGCATCTGCAGAAAATGTCTCAAGAACCAGAAATAAATAAGGACTGTGATAGAGAGGTATACCTTTATGTTCAAATGTTTCTGTGGAATTAGATTTTTATGTTATGCTGTTTAACAAAGTGTAGTAAGTGTACGCATACATGATCCTATCATGTAAGTAGCATAAATCACCAGTGAAAAATTTAATATTTAACTCAGAAAGAATTCTGTACATTGAGTTTTCAAGAGATACAAACCCTAGAGAGATTCTTTCATTATTATGGAACAATCCTGAATGGTGCCATAAAATGCTAGGTAATGCCACTTTAGGAGATTTGGACCAATCCTTTTATCTTTCTTGGTTTTAGTCTGATTATCACTAGATAATGTGGCTAAAGAAGATAATTACTTATTCTTTGTAATTTCCAGCTGGAAAATTGTATAGCTATTGAATGTGAAATTTGGGGAGCATCTAATTTTCTGGAATTCCATGCTTGCACCTCAGCAGTTTCACTCTGCTCCTTGTGTTGTGGCAAACTTTGGTTTTCATGTTTCAGTGAGCACCATCATGTTTTTGATATCCAGGAACCAAATGAAAAAAGAACGATCAAAGGCAGTGGGGGAGGAGAATATCTTAGTGCAGAAAAGGGCCATCTTCCTTTCTATTCCTGAAGCCCCCCAGTGTCTCATCCTCTACATCTGAGTGTTTAATGTAAAATCTAGGTGGTAAAGACAGAAGACACATTTTGTGTCTATGTCGTTTTATTTTTGTGTTCCCACGAGTCAAATGGGGTAAATTCATATATAAGATTCTGAAGAGTTTTTGGGAATAAAAGCACAAAATGAAGGAGGGCCCTTTTTGAATTTTGGAAAATTCTGTTTTATTCAGTCAAACAGCTGGAATCAAGCAAACTTTACAAAAATTTCAGTGATATACTAATGACATGATAATTACATCTTAAAATTATACAGTTATAGTTCTGTATATATGATCAAATTTAAGTGTGAAATATTTTTAATGACTAAAATAATGGCAAACTGAGTCAATTGATAAAATCAATTAAAAAGGTTATTTTTATTCAATAAAGTGATAACCATCCTTAATATCAAACTTCCACTCAAGGTTGAAGAAGAAATAAAGAAGCATGGAAGTAATCCTGTGGGATTACCAGAAAACCTGACTAATGGTGCCAGTGCTGGCAATGGTGATGATGGATTAATTCCACAAAGGAAGAGCAGAAAACCTGAAAATCAGCAATTTCCTGACACTGAGAATGAAGAGTATCACAGGTGAGCCTATGGCAACATTTAATAGGAGATAACTATATGCTGTCAAACTAATCCTAATTTGGGCTTTCATGATGAACAAATTTTATACTTTTACTAGAATATTCAGCCTTGCCTGTTAATCAGAAAAATGAAAATCAGTAAACAATGAGTTACCGTTTTTTCCAGTCATTAATTTATTTGAAAAATAACCGGCATTGGCAAATGTGAGGGAAAAGGCATTTCCTTTTCTTTTTAATGAACTTTTATTTTAGCTTCAGAAGTTCATGTGTAGGTTTATTATATAGGTAAACTGTGTCATGGAGGTTTGGACTACAGATTACTTCATCAGCCACATAATAAGCAAAATACTCGAGAGGTAGTTTTTTGGTCATCTCCCTCCTGCCACACTCCACCCTCAAGTAGACCCTGGTGTCTGTTATTCTCCTCTTTGTGTCCATGAGTTTTCATTGTTTAGTTCCCACAAATGAGTAAGAATATGTGGCATTTGATTTTCTGTTCCTGCATTAGTTTGCTTAGGATAATGGCCTCCAGCTCCATGTGTGTTGCTGCAAAGGAAACGGTCTCATTGAAAAAGACAATTCATACACTGTTGGTAAATATATTTTGAACATTAATTTATTAGCATATTTGCACACACACATATATAACATAGTAAGTATATATATGTATGTTAAGGATATTTGTATAGATTTGTCACATATATACTTATGTATAAGGACATTTCTTACAGCGTTATTATATCAAAAAGATGGATCCTTATCAATAGGAATTTATCATTATCAAAAGTAAATCCTTACCAATAGGAAATGGCTCAATTTTCATACCCAGAAAATAATACGGTATGCAAACATTTTTTACAAATGAGGTTAGATCTAGAGTATACTGATTATTTCACAATTAAAATGTATTTAAAGCATTTAGTTTGGTAACACATCTTAAGATAATTTTGTTAGAATTCTTGTAATATCTGCTGTGTTGCAAATGGAAGCTACACGCTACATTGACACTGTACCTTGTTAGCAACGAGATTGGTAGTTATTAAATTTTTGTTGTCAGTGCCTGAGTGCCAAAATATTGGACCTTCAATCTGAATATTGCCAAGGGATTGTACATGGGGACCTATATTTAATATAAACATTTGAGTATATTGGGTAAAACTTTTATTAAAATATATCAAAGTATCTTTCATCTGCTAAACCAGGAGCTGGCCAGCTTTTTCTGCAAAGAGCCATTTAGTAAATATTTTAGGCTTTGTGGACTATATATATTTATTTTTTTTGAGACAGGGTCTCTGTTGCCCAGGCTGGAGTGCAATTGTGTGATCACAGCTCACTGCAGCCTTGACTTTCTGGGCTCTAGTGATCCTCCTCCCACCTCAGCCTCTCTATTAGCTGGGACCCCAAGTGTGCAACATCACACCCAGCTAATTGACTCTATGGACTGTAAAGTGAATAAGCATGGCTGTGTTCCAAGATTCTTTACTTACAAAAACAGTCAGTGGCCTGGATTTGGCCCACAGGTGCTAATTTGCTGACCCTTGTGCTAAAAGGAAGGTGCTGCTAATGCAGTAACACTTATTTATAAAAGTGCCCAGCATGTGTGACAGTATCTTTCCTTTGAGAAAAAGATATATTTTGGTATTCACCTCACCATATTTTTCCACAGTGACTTCATATATTTTTAAAAATTTCATTTGTAAAATAAGATTATTTTCTGCATTTCTGCCACTTTATTCCTGTTAATAGAATTCAGTATTTTATGGTGATCAATTACTTTGTATATTCGATGAGCATCAACTGTCCTAGAATTGGCTGATTTTTATCAAGCAAGAAATACTCTCCTTGAAACTTTTAGTTTTTCTTGGTCTTTATGTATAAGCATGAACAAAATGATAATTAGCTTATGTAATCTAGAAATGGTCAAGGCAACTTTTAGTTCTATAGTTTTAAGATTTAACACCTTGGTCTGGCATTTTTAATGCCACATGTGTATAATTTTTATAAGCTTTAAAATATATAATTGTTATATAAAATTTGAAAACTACACCTTTTATGTAAAATTTGAAACTATTTGTCTATTACTTTTCCATGACTGTGGAAGAAAATTACAACATTCTCAGCCATGACTCCTAAGTATGATGTCCTTAAAAGAACTGTCTACACTCACGAACTCAAATTTTCTTTTCATTCACTCTTGATCTCATGCCAGTAAGTCTTCAATTTCAGCAGTCCTCCAGCATTGTTTTTCCTCAAGATTATCACTAATTTTTTTCTGTAATAAATCTAGGCACTTTTCTTCCACCTCATTTTATTTAATCTGTCAGCAATATTTGAGCCAATGGAGGGCATCTCCTCCCTAACGGCATCTTCACTTGGCTTTCAGGACCTCACTCCCTCAGGCTTTTCCTCCTGCCTTTCTAGTCCATTCATCATGGTCTGTTTTGCTTGCTCCTCCTCATCTTTCTCCTTTTGGACATTGTTGTTTCCCAGGGCTCACTCCTCAGTCTTCTTTCTTGTGACTTTTTCTTTTTCTTTTTTGGAGACAGAGTTTCACTCTGTCTCCCAGGCTGGAGTTCAGTGGTGTGATCTCGGCTCACTACAACCTCTGCCTCCTGGGTTCAAGCAATTCTCCTGCTTCGGCCTCCTGAGTAGCTGGCATTACAGGTGCATGCCACCGTGCCCAGCTGATTTTTGTATTTTTAGTAGACACAGCATTTCCCCATGTTGGCCACCCTGGTCTCAAACTCCTGACCTCAGGGGATCTGTCTGCCTTGGTCTCACAAACTGTTGGGATTACAGGTGTAAGCCACTGCACCTGGCCCCTCGTGACTTTTTCTACTGTGTATATGCTAGTGATTTCTGAATGTATGTCTCCAGCTCAGATCTTTCTCCTTAATTCCAGATTTCTATATCAGCCTGCCTACTTGACGTCTCTATTTGGTTAGTTATTGGGTATCACACACTTGTCAGATCCAAAATTGGGCTACTGATGTCCTTCCTGAAATCTGCACCTCATGTAGTCTTTCCTATTTTTGGTTAAGGGCAACTCTTCCAGTTGCTCTGCCAAATATCTCGGTGTCATTCTTGACTCATCTCTCTCTCTCTCTGACACCTCACATCTAATCTCTCAGTAAATCTTGTCAGGTCTACCTGAAGAATATGTCCAGAAGTCAGTCATATCTTGTACATCTGAGCCACCCTCATCTGCAGTCTAGATGAGTGTCATAGACTGGGAATTGATAGTCCTGGTTTTTAAAAACTTCCCTTTTCATCAATTCTTAACTCAGTGGATGTATTTAAAACATAAGTCAAATTGTGTCATTCCTCTGCCCCAGCCCTTCTGATTATCTCCCATTTCACTCGGAGTATGTGTCAAAGTTCCTCCTAATTATCTCCCTTGCTCTGCTTCAGCCAAACTGAATTCTTGCCGTCCCTTATCTACCCCTAGTGCTTAAAGATGCCAGGCACACCTCTGTGATTCGCAGTTCCCTGTGTCGGGAATGATTTTTCCCCAGTTATCCTCCTAGCTTTCTCTTTCCATTCCTTCACTTCTTTATTTAAAACCCCCTTTCTAAGAAGAAGAGGAAAAAGGGTAAAAAGAAAGACATTAAGGAACAACCACTTTCTGAGGAAGAACAGCGTGCTACCTAGACGCGTCATGCTTGAGGTTCAATTGGGTGCCTACCAGGGATGCTCTCTAACGTAATGAAGGGAAGGTTCAGTGAAACAAAGTGATTTAACATCTCTAACTTCAAACCCATTTGTATCTTGACATCAATGCCGTTAACCTTATGTCGTCATTTCTTAGAGTCTTTGATATACAAATAAAAGGTTTTTTGTATTAGAAAAAAAAATCCCCTTTCTCAGCAGGGACTTTTCTGACCACCCCAACTTTCCCACCACCCTCCCCATGAAACACATAAACATTTCATTTTCCTGCTTTAGTTTTTCTCCTCTAACATACTGTATATTTTGCCTTATCTGTCTGTTGTTATTGTGTGTTTTTCTCACTCTCATGAATGGGGTTTTTATTTTTCACTACCATATCCTCACTGCCTAGAAAAAGGCCTAGCATATTGGATGAAGCTACCTAATAAATACTTATTAAATGAGTGAATGGAGTTTATCCTGGATATATTGTTTGATTAATTCTCACTTTAAAAATGTTTGACATGGTTCATTCTAACAGTTTTGCCCGGTAATTACATGCATTTTAAAAATTGTTTTGGCTCTTTATAATAAGCTACATTCTTTATATTATTTTTTTATTTAGAGAGAAAAGCCCAATATTGTGGTTATTCACTATTTATTCTTTTACTAGTAAACATAATTGTAATTATGGTAAACTGAGTCAGAGGAATTGTAAACTTTACTGGTATTTTATTTTATTTTGAGATGGAGTCTTGCTGTATCCCCCAGGCTGGAGTTCAGTGGTATGATCTCAGTTCACTGCAACCTCCGCCTTCTGGTTCATGCATTTCTCCTCCCTCAGCCGCCCAAGGAGCTGGGATTACGGGGGCATGCCACCACGCCTGGCTAATATTTGTATTTTTAATAGAGATGGGGTTTCACCCTGTTGGTCAGGCTGGTCTCAAACTCTGTACCTCAGGTGATCCACCCACTTCGGCCTTTCAAAGTGCTGGGATTACAGGCATGAGCCACTGTGCCTGGCCACTAGTATTTTATTTAAAAAAAAATTAGGGTGGCACATTTAATGGACTTACAAATTCTTTTCAAGGGATTATGAACCTTTGGTATTTGAAATAAAGATACAGAGTTGGAATTTTTTGCTTCCTATAGTAAGAGGAATACTGGTCAGGCACTGTCTATTCTGGTGGAGCAGGTGCTGCTGCGTGGCTGTATTTCAGAAGCAAGCTGCTCACATTGATATTGGTTGGTGAGCAAGAGCAGTGGTCATTGATTGATTGACTAGATTTCAAACTGGCTTTTGGGTGGCTTGTTGTTACCATTGGTACAAGTCATTTCTTTCCTAAGTTAGAGTCAACTTTAACCAAAAATTTTCTGTATAAAAGTTGCCTTCAATTAACTATGTTCAAAATGAAAGTACTTTATATTCCAGAATTGTAGACTTCATTTTAAAATTTTGGTCAGGATGAATTGGTTAATAATAGCTCTCAGGAAGATCTGTTTTCCTTTTTTAAAATACATATTTCTCTGTATAATTTATTCCTTAAAATTAATTATTTTCTTTCTGTTTTTGGTATTTTTAGAAGCTTTTGCTCAAGTCCTAACATAATCTCCAGTAGGAGATTTTAGTCTCTTTGTCAGTTCATGTATGTATATGGTAGTGATACTCTCTTTTTAAATTCCTTTTCTCATTCACTTTCTTCTCAGTACAATAACAGTGATATTCTTATACATCTTTACCTCATTTAAAAGTAATTACAGTTTTCTGCTGGCAAATTCAGCTTTTTATATTTTGACTAAATACTAGGCTAAAATTGAAGAAAATTTACCAGGTCATTTTATTTTCAAACAAAATCATTACTAATAAAAATTGCTATTTTTGAAATATAAATAATGACATTTTGATATTTTAAAAGTAAGGATACACCCCCCCCAATAGTTTCGCTTTGTGTTTCCACCCAAATCTCATGTCAAATTGTAATTCCCAGGTGTTGAGAGAAAGACCAGCTGGGAGGTATTGGATCATGGGGTCGGTTTCCTCCATGCTGTTCTCTTGATAGTGAGTTCTCACAAGAGCAGATAATTCTATAATGGGCTCTTTCCCTTTCACTTCTCTCTCTCCTGCCACCTTTTGAAGAAGTTGCCTGCTTCCCCTTTACCTTCTGCCATGATTGTAAGTTTCCTGAGGCCTTCCCAGCCATGTGTAACTGTGAATCAATTAAGCCTCTTTCCTTTATGAATTACCCAGTCTCAGGTATACATACATATATATATATATATATATATATATATATATATATATATATATATATATATAATTTTCTTTATTCCACTCATCAGTTGATGGACACTGGCTGATAACATATCTTTGCATATGTGAATTGTGCTGCAGTAAACATATGTATATAGGTGTCTTTTTGAGAGTATGATTTCTTTTATTTTGGGTAGGTATCCAGAAATGAGAATGCTGGATAGAATGGTAAGATCTACTTTAACAGAACTCTCCATAATGTTTTCCATAGATTTGTACTAATTTGTATCCCCACCAGCAGTGTATAAATCTTCTTTTTTCACCACATCCACACCAACATCTGCTGTTTTTTTTATTTTAGTAGTGACCATTCTGGCTGAAGTGAGGTGATATCTCACTGTTGTTTTATTGTACATTTCCCTGATGATTAGTAATATTTAGCATGTTTTTATATTCTTGTTCACCATTTGTACATCTTCTTTTGAAAAATGTCTATTCATGTCATGTGCCCACTTTTTAATGGAATTGTTTGTATTTTTCCTGCTGATTTGTTTGAGCTTCTGGTAGGTTATGGACATTAATCCTTTGTTAGATTCATAATTTGCCCATATTTTCCCCATTGTATAAGTGGTTGGCTCACTTTGATGATTATTTCTTTTGCTGTGCTGAAGCTTTTTAGTTTAATTAGGTCTTTATTTATTTATTTATTTATTTATTTATTTATTTTTATTTTTGTTGCTTTTGCTTTCAGGGTCCTCATCATAAATTATTTGCCTAGGCTAATGTCTTCTGGTCTTAGGTTTAGGCCATTAATCCATCTTGAATTAATTTTTTACATGGTGAGAGATAGAGATCCAATTTTATTCTTCTATATGTGACTATCTTTTTTTCCCAGCACCATTTGTTGAATAACGTGTACTTTCTCCAGTGTATGTTTTTGTATCCTTTCTCAGAGATCATTTGGTTGTAAGTGGCCTTTTTTCTGAGTTGTCTATTCTGTTCCATTGATCTGTGTATCTACTTTTATACCAGTACCATGATGTTTGTTACTGTGGCCTTAGAGTTGAAGTCAGGTAATTTGATGCCAACATGTTTGTTCCTTTTTCTTGGTATGTCTGTTGCTATTCAGGCTCTTTTGTGGTTCTACATGAATGACAGCTTTTTAAAATAACTCTGTGAAGAATGACATTGGTACTTTGGTAGAAACTGTATTGACTCTGTAGACTACTTTGGGCACTATGGCATTTTCACAATATCAATGCTTTCAGTCCAGGAACATAGAATGTATGTTCATTTATTTGTATGATCTATGATTTTCTTCAGTGGCGTTTTCCAGTTATCCTTTGATAGATCACTCACCTCCTTCATTAAGTATATTCCTAGGTATTTTACTATTTTGCAGCCATTGTAAAAAGGATTGGATTCTTGATATGACTCTCAGCTTGGTTGTAGTTGGTGTATAGTGGTACTATTCATTGGTATTTGTATATTTTGTAACCTCTGAGACTTTACTAAATTCATTTATCAAATCTAGGAGTGTTTTGTAGGAGTCTGTAGGGTTTTCTAGGCATAAGATCATATCATTGGTGAAGAGAGAGTTTGACTTTCTCTTTTCCAATTTGGATGCCCTTTATTTCTCTTGCCCAATTGCTCTGCCTAGGGCTTCCCAGTTTTCTTCTTAATATGCATGAAATAAAAGTGAAATTGAAAGCGATTAATGATCAGTTTATTTCACATCTCTCTCTCATACACAGATAAAATTAATTCAAAGTTCTATGTTAAAAACACAATATTAGACCCTGTCTTGTTCCAAAGGGAATTTCTAATTTGTCTATAAATTACAGAGGAATAAAGAATATAAGTGGAAACTGTTTCCAAAAAATAAACGTAAAAAGTTTGAGTTAACACAGGGGTTTCCAATCCCCAGGCCACAGACCAGTACCAGTCCCTGGCCTGTTAGGACCTGGGCCACACAGCAAGAAGTTAGTGGTAGATGAGCAAGTGAAGCTTCATCTGTTTACAGCCACTCTCTGTCACATTACCACCTGAGCTGCTCCTCCTGTCAGATCAGCGGTGACATTAGATTCTCATAAGAGTGTGACTTGAACCCTATTGCAAGCTGCTCATGCATGGGATCTAGGTTGTTCACTCCTGATGAGAATCTAATGCTTTATGATCTGTCACCATCTCCTGTCACCCCTAGATGAGACCATCTAGTTGCAGGAAAATAAGCTGAGGGCTCCCACTGATTCTACATGATGGTGAGTTATATAATTATTTCATTATATATTAGTAATAATAGAAATGAAGTGCACAATGTATGTAATGTGCTTGAATCATCCTGGAACCATCCCCCACCTCAGGTCCATGGAAAAATTATCTTCCACAAAACTAGTCCCTGGTGCCAACATGACTGGGAGAGCAGGGTTAACAGATGTGAGGCCCCTTTGCCTTGTCTTGGATTAATGTGCAGATATACATTGTGTGAATGACATCTGATGGTGCCATCTTGCCCTGTAGATCATTTTAGGGACACCTCCAGTATTTCATGAAAATTAAAATTTCTTCTAGTGACGAACAAAATGATACCCAGAAACAACTTTCTGAAGAACAGAACACTGGAATATCACAAGATGAGATTCTGACTAATAAACAAAAGCAGATAGAAGTGGCTGAAAAGGAAATGAATTCTGAGGTATTTTCTTTAGTCATTATCAAATGTTTTCATATGTGTGTATATTTTTAAAAAGCTTTATTTTGGAAGGTATAAAGGATTTTTAAATCATATATATACACACACCCTGTATATCCTTGGTCATATATCTATATATGTACACATAGGATAAAGCCATGTTCTTAATTCAACTGCATTTGCCTGCAACAGTCGAGTAGTGACCTTCACAATGGCCTCAATCCAAAGGAAAAGCATTTGATATTTTTCATAAGAATTGATTATCTTTCCAATATCAAAAATAAGTTTTGCTACTAACAACAGATTTGCTAGTTTTGGGACATTAGTTCTTTTTAAAATATTAATAGAGAAGTCAGTTTGTTATTTTCACTAATAGGAAAGTAGGAAATGTACAGCTGGGTCAGAGGCCACATTGTGGATGTCATTATCCTTGCTTTTGAGGAGAGGAACAGTTTGCTCCGAGTAGTTTCTCAATTCAATGCAAAGAGCTTTGAAAACAATGACATGCCATGATACACATTTAGTGATAATTTATTGATAAGTATTTTGTTCCCAGATGAATAGTTCAGTACGTTTCCCGTATTTCACACTTACTACTATAATGTTTCAAACATTATGAAGAGGAAAGAAAAGTTATTGCAATGGCAAATAATCTCATGATTTCTAAGAAAAGCCTTGTAAGTTATATCTTATTTACCATTTGTATTTTGAAATAAAAGGCTTCTTTTGTATTTATATATTTACACCACAGAAGCAACTGATTTTGTGGAGGATCACTAACAGTAGCATCAGAAGACCTGGCAAAAATCTTGCACGTTGCATATATATATGTGTGTGTGTGTGTGTGTGTGTGTGTGTGTATTCTAGATGGAGTCTTGCACTGTCACCCACGCTGGAGTGCAATGGCACAAACTCAGTTCACTGCAACCTCTGCCTCCCAGGTTCACACGATTCTCCTGCCTCAGCCTCCTGAAGTGCTGGGATTACAGGTGTGAGCCACTGGTCCTGGCTGCATATATTTTTTGACCTCTCCTTTTAAGAATCGTGATCTTAAATGAGTTGAGTGTTGTATGTAGAAGTGCAATGCTTAGATGCCGGTGTGTACATTGTAGAAGGGTACAATGCTTAGATTTAACAGTTATGAATAAATGTAATTCTTATAACTGACTGTAAAAATATTAGAAAAGCAGTATATTGATAAAACATTCCTCAGAAAAAGGAACTTAAAGAACTTTGAGGAATTGCTTCTGTCCTAATATATGCATAGCTGAGGCTCTTATGATGGTGTGGTTTGTAGGTTAGATATCAGAGTGTAAACCCAATTTAAAAAATGTAGCCAAATGTATTAATCTTCTATTTTATGCCTCTGGGTTTTTTGTAATTCAGAGAAAGGCTTTTCCAATTCTGAAATTCTTAAAAATCCTCTAGTGATTTATTTTTCATGGTCTTTAGATAAATATTTCAACTTTTTGGAATTTACACTCTTCTAGATTTGAAGTTTTGTCCAACTTTTTTCCAGTTAAATATCCACTATGGGAATTATTTCATTATACAAATATAAATGTCATTCTTTGATTTTAGAAGAAATCATGATATGTCATTCTATTGAGTGCTAACTAAAAGTTCCCTTTGTTTACTTAGCTTTCTCTTAGTCATAAGAAAGAAGAAGATCTCTTGCGTGAAAACAGCATGTTGCGGGAAGAAATTGCCAAGCTAAGACTGGAACTAGATGAAACAAAACATCAGAACCAGCTAAGGGAAAATAAAATTTTGGAGGAAATTGAAAGTGTAAAAGAAAAACTTCTAAAGACTATACAACTGAATGAAGAAGCATTAACGAAAACCAGTATTTAAGTACAGTGGACAGCTTAGGATTTTGACAACTGAGAATGCTCAGTTCTGAACTGGAGAATGTAAGACACAACTAGGAAACACTGGAAATGGAAATTCAATCATGTCATTGTAGACTGACTACTGCTCTACATGATTGTGATCAAAGTCAGATAGCTGAAAGGGACTTCTTTCCAGAGAACAAACATCAACAGGTTTATTTACAGGAGAAAATGAATTCTTATATATCTCACCTAAAAGATAACAGTGAGATTCTTTCTGAACAACTCTAACGCTGACAGTAAAATTAACAACCTAAAAATTAAGCTCCATCACACAGGATAAATTCTGAGAGAAAAGATGAGGCAGGCCACCATCTTTCCTGTTTGGGCAACTTAGTCATTCCAGCGTGCGGGCTTTGGAGAGTACAAACTCACCAGGGACAGAAGAGATCCTGTGGCATAGCACAGCTGCTTTACCAAATCATGGCCAGAATGCTTCTGTAAGCAGGCCCCTGATCCTGTTCCTCGTCACTGGACAGGATCTCCCACCTGAGGCCTCCAGCTACACCCACCAGTGTTCCCTGGCCAATGGAGATTTGAAACCTTCCTGGGACAGAGTTCCCAGAGAGAGGGGTGGGCCATGATGGGCAGGTCTTCCTGGCCTGGGTCTCCAGCCAGCCCCCCACTTGAGCCTTCAAGCCAGTAGCAACTCAGCAACTCCCTGGACAGAGCTTCCAGGAGCAACAGAAATCCTCTCTGCCACTGCCTCTGCAGTGGAACTGCCCTTGCTACCCTCAGAATATCAAGGGAGCAAAGACCCTAAGTGCCATATTGACACCTCCAACAAGCTGCAGTTGACACAAGGAACAAGTCAGTCCATCTTCCACGGGTACAACACACCCCTTACTGCTCATCACCAGACAAGGAACCCTGGCTTGGGCCCACAGCACAGACCCTCCATCCTGGGGTGATTACATTAAGTAACTCCTAACTTACACCTCTCTGGGGTGGAGCCCCCAGGAGACAAGGAAAGTGGTGGAGCAGCAAGTCAGCTGATGTGGAGCCCGGAGGGCAGGGACATCTATGACTCTAGGCTCCACTTGCTCTTATGAGACACTTTATCCCAGCACTTAAGGAGTGCTGAGGTCAGACCAGCCCCATCTCACGTGCAAGATTGCCCAGCACAGATCAGGTCTAAGAGTTCTCTTCCTAAAAAGGGGGACTTGCTTAAAAAAGAAGTCTGGCCGCGTTTGTGTAGAGCAGTTGTGCTGTGCTGAGGATTCACTTTTGAGAGAGTTCTCCTCTGAGACCTGATCTCTGCTGGGCAGTCTTGCACATGAGATGGGGCTGGTCTGACCTCAGCACCCCTTAGTCTGCTTGCCTCTCCCAGGACCCCAGCCAGGCCACACCTGCTTAGAGGGCACTTCTGGGTGCCCACACCATAGCTTCTGTACAAGCGGACCGTGGCTGATCAGTGGAGAGCTGCAGCAAGGTGACCTCTACAGCCACGTACCAGCCTGCACATTACCTCTCCATACTGCAGCCCTTTATATGGAAACTTTCTACATCACTTAGCTGTGTGTGTTTACACAGGTGGGTTTTGTTGTACTTGCCCTAACAGCATATGGGAATGCAGCACACACCCCAACCCACACCAACTGCCACTGAAGATGAAGCCATGGTGGGCACAGAACCAAAAACCCCACCCCTGCTAGCATCTCACCCTTGAGGTAATGCTGTGCAGAGGAAAAGGGACCTTCTTATACCCTGAGTGACCACTGTTGCTTGGGGGGGATCAGAGAAGGCACCTTCACTGGCCAGCCACCCACCCCAAACCAGAACTACCTCCAGTGCAACAGCACACACAGTCAGCAGGGGCCCCCTGGCCCACACCCCAGCTGTTTTGCCTCCACCACTAGGTGAATGCCCACAGGGAGGCAGGGACTTTTGCATCTGCTAGCATTCTGCCACAGCTGCCGCACTTTGGTCCCCTCAGTGCGGTGGACTCCAAACCTCGAGGAGCCAGAGAACAAAGTTGTGGCCCAATACAAGTTCCCCAGAGTTAAAGCACACAGTCCAAGAATTGGGAGCTGCATGTTGGCCCCTTAAAATCCTCCAAAGACAAAACCTGTTGGCTGAATCCACCTTACACCACAATCAAATCCTCAAGGTCATCAGATATAATAAAGGAAAAATACCCTGTCCAAAGGTCAGCAGCCTCAAAGATTGAAGGTGGATAAGCCCATAAAGATGAGAAAAAGACTCTGTGCAAGAACACTGAAAACTCAAAAATTCAGCATGCTTTCTTTTCTCCAAATGACTGCATCAACTCTCCAGCAAGTGTTCAGAACTGGGCTGAGGCTGAGATGTCTGAAATGATACAAGCAGAGTTCAGGATATGGGTAGGAACAAAGTTCCCTGAGTGAAAGAGGTATGTTGTAATCCAATACAAGGAAGCTAAAAATCATTGTAAAACATTGCAGGAACTAACAGACAAAATAGCAAGTATAAAGAAGAAAATAACTGACCTGACAGAGCTGTAAATCACACTAGAAGAATTTTCATAATGCAGTCACACGGTGATTGTGTGTGATTGCATTATGAAAATTATTGTAGTATGTGTGGGCACCTGAGAGTGCCCTGTAAGCAGATGTGGCCAGGCTGGGGTCCTGGGAGAGGCAAGCAGACTAGGGAGGGCTGAGGTCAGACCAGCTCCATCTCATGTGCAAGACCATCCAACAGAATAGACCAAGAAGAGGAAAGAATCCCAGAACCTGGAAACTGGCTTTCTGAAATAAAACAGGCAAACAAGAATGGGGGAAAAAAGAATGAAAGGGAATGAACAAAACATCTGAGAAATATGGGATTATATAAACGACTAAATCTATGACTGATTAATGTACCTGAAAGAGATGAGGAGAATGGAACCAACTTGGAAAACACATTTCAGAATATCATTCATGAGAATGTCCCCAACCTAGCCAGACAGGCCAACACTCAACTTCAGGAAATCCAGAGAACCTCAGTAAGATATGCCATGAGAAGATCATCCCCAAGACACATAATCATCAGATTCTCTGCGGTCAAAATGAAAGAAAAAGTGTTAAAGGCAGCTAGGGAGAAAGGCAACATCACCTGCAAAGGAAATTCCATCAGACTTAGCAGACCTCTCAACTGAAACTGTACAAGCCAGAAAAGATATTCAACATCTTAAAGAAAAGAAATTTCAACCCAGAATTTCATGTCCAGCAAAATTAAGCATCATAAGTGAAGGAGAAACAAGATCCTTTTCAGACAAGCAAATGCTGAGGGAATTCATTATCACCAGACCTACCTTACAAGAGCTCCTGAAGGAAGCACTAAATATGGAAAGAAAAGACCACCACCAGCCACTACAAAAACACACTGAAGTACACAGACAAGTGATGCTAAAAACCAACCACATACATAAGTCTGCAAAAAAGCCAGCTGACAGCATGACGAGAGGATCAAATCCACACATACCATTACTAACCTTAAATGGAAATGGGCTAAATGCTCCAATTGAAAGACACAGGGGGCAAGCTGGATAAAGAACCAAGACCCATTGGAGTATGCCATCTTCAAGAAACCCATCTCACATGCAGTGCCCTACATAGGCTCAAAATAAAGGAATGGAGAAAAATATTTCAAGGAAATGGAAAATAGAAAAAAGCAGGTGTTGCACTCCTAGTTTCTGACAAAGCAGACTATACCAATAAAGATTAAAAAGAAAAAAAAAAAGACAGAGGGCTGGGCGCGGTGGTTCATGCCTGTAATCCCAGCACTTTCGGAGGCTGAGACAGATGGATCACAAGGTCAGGAGATCGAGACCATCCTGGCTAACACGGTGAAACCCCGTCTCTACGAAAAATACAAAAAATTAGCTGGGCATGGTGGCGGGTGCCTGTAGTCCCAGCTACTTGGGAGGCTGAGGCAGGAGAATGGTGTGAACCTGGGAAGTGGAGCTTGCAGTGAGCCAAGATCGTGCCACTGCACTGCAGCCCAGGCGAGACAGTGAGACTCCGTCTCAAAAAAAAAAAAAAAAAAAAAAAAAAAAAGAGAGAAGGAGATTACAAAGGTGGTCCTGACCTTTGATAAATCTCATTATTGCTTGATACCAACCTGGGCTATCTTTATTGCCCAAACCAATAGGATAATGTGCTGAGGTTAGGGAGCTTCTCCCCTGCAGAGAATCCCTGATCTCCCAAAATTTGGTTGAGATCTAAGGTTGATTTTGCTATACAACTCCTTTTCTGAAGTTTTACTTATTTCCAACAAGGCAAGTTTTCCTGCTTCCGTGATGATGGAGAGCAGGCACCTCCTTTCTTGAGTTTCAGCTTGCTTCTGACAGGGAAGGTGAGTGTAAGTTTTTTCCAGCTTCTAAGATGGCAGAGAACAATCACCAGCCTGAGACTTATTTCCAGGTAAGTAGCTGAATTAGAGTTTTGTCTTAAAATTTTTCCTTAATGACTAAAATTTAAGATTACTCACCAGCTGCTTTTAATTTCTCGTTACCATTAGAACACTCAGTAATCATATGAATTGTGCATTTGTTTGTTTTGCTTAACTCTTTTTGTTTGTTTATGTTTGGGGTTTTGTTGTTGTTGTTTCACTTTTCTCCCATCTCTTCCTGACTTGGTCAAATCCAAAGAATGCTCCAAATTGTGGGGAACAAGGCTTCTGAATTGGCTAAAACTCATGTGGCTGCAAAAAAAAAAAAAATTCCAGTTAGCAGAAATGATTTTTTTAACTTTTTTATTTTTATTTTTTACATAAGTGGTTGCATCTTTTGCTAGCCAAGGCCAAACTGAGGGAGTAGTGGTGGCGACCCAAAGTTAAGATTCTGCCCTGTTCACTACAGAAACCTGAGTTTGGTTCCTAAGTCTAGTTCTTTCTGTTTGATATTTGTGTTACTTTTAAAATATCAGCAGTTTGTCCCAGCTATGATGTGGTAGTAAAAGATTCAGAAGTATTTTCTTTACAAGTTCTATGTTGAAAAGCTTAATTAAAAGCAAATTTATTTTTTTTTAATTATACTTTAAGTTCTGGGGTACATGTGCAGAACATGCAGGTTTGTTACATACGTATACACATGCTATGGTGGCTTGCTGCATGCACCAACCCATGATCTAATGCCATCCCTTTTCTAGCCCCCCACCCTGACAGGCCCTTGTGTGTGATGTTTCCCTTCCTGTGTCCATGTGTTCTCATTGTTCAGGTCCTACTTATGAGTGAGATCATGTGGTGTTTGGTTTTCTGTTCTTGTGTTAGTTTGCTGAGAATGACAGTTTCCAGCTTCATCCATGTCCCTGCAAAGGATATGAACTCATCCTTTTTTATGACTGCATAGTATTCCATGGTGTATATATGCCACATTTTCTTTATCCAGTCTATCATTGGTGGGCATTTGGGTTGGTTCCAAGTCTTTCCTGTTGTGAACACTGCCGCAATAAGCATACGTGTGCATGTGTCTTTATATTGGAATGATTTATATTTTTTTGAGTATATACACTGTAATGGGATTGCTGGGTCAAATGGTATTTCTAGTTGTAGATCCTTGAGGAATCATCACACTGTCTTCCACGATGGTTGAACTGATTTATACTCCCACCAACAGTGTAAAAGCATTCCTATTTCTCCACATCCTCTCCAGCTTCTGTTGTTTCCTGATTTTTTAATGATGGCCATTCCAAGTGGCGTAAGATTGTATCTCATTATGGTTTTGAATTCCATTTCTCTAATGACCAGTGCTTTGCTTCACATGTTCATTGGCTGCGTAAATGTCTCCTTTGGGAAGTGTCTGTTCATATCCTTTGCCCACTTTTTGATGGGGTTGTTTGTTTTTTTCTTGTAAATTTGTTTAAGTTTTTATAGATTCTGCATATTAGCCCTTTGTCAGATGGATAGATTGCAACAATTTTCTCCCTTTCTGAGGGTTGCCTGTTCACTCTGATGATAGTTTCTTTTGCTGTGCAGACACTCTTTAGTTTAATTAGATCCCATTTGTCAATTTTGGCTTTTGTTGCCATCGCTTTTGGTGTTCTAGTGATGAAGTCTTCGCCTATGCCTATGTCCTGAATGGTATTGCCTAACACAAGGACATTTCTGTGCCTGAATGCCATATCTCCCAAAGTAATTTATAGAATCAGTGCCATCTCCATGAAGCTACCATTGACTTTCTTCCCACAATTAGAAACACTACTTTAAATTTCATATGGAGCCAAAAAAGAGCTCGCGTAGCCAAGACAATCTAAGCAAAAACAACAAAGCTGGAGGCATCATGGTACCTGACTTCAAACTATTCTACAAGGCTACAGTAACCAAAACAGCATGGTACTGGTACCAAACCAGATATATAGACAAATGGAACAGAACAGAGGCCTCAGAAATGACACAACACATCTAAAACCATCTGATCTTTGACAAACCTGACAAAAACAAGCAATGGGGAAAGGATTCCTTATTCAATAAATGGTGTTAGGAAAACTGGCTAGCCATATGCAGAAAACTGAAACTGGGCCACTTCCTTACACTTTATACAAAAATTAACTTACGATGGATTGAAGAGTTAAACTTAAGACCTAAAACCATAAAAAACCTAGAAGAAAACCTAGGCCACCAAACTCAGGAGAAATGTACTTGTAGTGCAATGCATGGTACAAACACACATTCCCTGCTTCCTTAAGTGGGTGAGGTTGGTGGCTGGTCCACCTGCTCCAGGTGGATCCTTGCAGAGGTGGCTGGTTGCTCTTTGAGCCAGCTTGGCCTTGCCTGGCATTCACAAGCCTCAGTGCAACAACTGTGCTACAAATGGAGCCACACAGAAAATGACCAGCAGGCTCAGGAGCAGGGTGTACACTGCCTTTGGGGCTCCAGTCCATGCCTCAGGGCTCATATGGCACCGTGGGCTTCTTGGTTGCCAAGAGGCAGATCACAGGCCATCTTGTGGAGGACTTTATGTTCAAGTGCAGAAAGCAGCCAGGATTACAACCTAGGGGACTCAGCCTTTTGTGACCCTGGCCAGACTTAGAATTTGGCCCCAGGCATGACACGCTCACTCAGAGTAGCGTGTCAGTACCTGGGGCCTGTGCATGCCAGGCAAAGCCAAGCTGGCTCAAAGAGCAACCAGCCACCTCTGCAAGGGTGTGCCTAGAGCAGTTGGACCAGCCACCAATCTCACCCCCTCAACAAAGCCGGGATGGCCAGGTTCCCACAGCCTGAGTGGCTGCCACCTGATGGCTGATGGAGCAGAGGCCTGAGGAAAAGCAGATGGCACTGGGGCCCTACCTTTAGGGTAGAAGAACTGAGGTACCATGTCTGGCAGCAAGTGATGTTGGTGGCTGGTCCACCTGCTCCTGGCACACCCTTGCAGAGGTGGCTGGTTGCTCTTTGAGCCAGCTTGGCCTTGCCCAGCATGCACAAGTCTCAGTGCAACAACTGTTCTACAAATGGAACCACACAGAGGACATTAGAGGCAGGCTCAGGAGCAGGGTGTACACTGCCTTTGGTGCTCCAGTCCATGGCTCAGGGCTCATATGTCACTGCGGGCTTCTTGGTTGCCAAGAGGCAGACCACAGGCTGTCTTGAGGAGGACTTTATGTTCGAGTATAGAAAGCAGCAGGATTACCACCCAGGGGACTTGGCGTTCTGTGGCCCTGACCAGACTTAGAATTTGGGCCAAGGCAGGACAAGCTCACTCACAGCAGCATGTCAGTAGCTGGAGACTATGCATGCCAGGCAAGGCCAAGCTGACTCAAATAGGAACCAGTCACCTCTGCAAGGGTGCACCTGGGACATGTGGAGCAGCCACCAACCTCAGCTACTCAAGGAAGTAGGGATGGCCAAGTTCCCACAGCCTGAATGGCTGCCTCCTGATGGCTGATGGAGCAAAGGCCTGAGGAAAAGCGGATGGCACTGGGGCCCTACCTCTAGGGTAGAAGAACTGATGTGCCCTCACCTGCAACAAGTGAGTTTGGTGGCTGCTCCACCGGCTCCTGGCACACGCTTGCAGAGGTGGCTGGTTGCTCTTTGAGCCAGCTTGGCCTTGCCTGGCATACACAAGCCTCAGTGCAACATCTGTGCTAGGTATGGAGTCACAGAGAGGAAATGAGCAGCAGGCTCAGGAGCAGGGTGTGCGCTGCCTTTGGGGCTCCAGTCCATGCCTCAGGGCTCGTGTGGCACTGCGGGCTTCTTCGTTGCAAAGAGGCAGACCACAGGCCATCCTGAGGAGGACTTGATATTCAAGTGCAGAAAGTAGGCAGGATTACCACCCAGGGGACTCTGCCCTGGACAGAGATAAAATTTGGGCCAAAGCAGAACAAGCTCACTCAGAGCAGCATGTCGGTAGCTGGGGCCTGTGTATGCCAGGCAAGGCCAAGCTGGCTCAAAGAGCAACCAGCCACCTCTGCAAGGGTGCACCTGGAGCAGGTGGAGCAGCCACCAACCTCACCCACTCAAGGAAGTAGGGATGGCCAGGTTCCCACAGCCTGCATGGCTGCATCCTGATGGCTGATGGAGCAGAGGCCTGAGGAAAAGCAGATGGCATTGGGGCTCTACCTCTTGGGTAGAAGAAGTGATGTACACCGACCAGCTGTGAGTGAGGTTGGTGGCTGGTCCACCTGCTCCTGGCACACCCTTGCAGAGGTGGCTGGTTTCTCTTTGCGCCAGCTTGGCCTTGCCCAGCATGCACAAGCCTCAGTGCAACAGCTGTGCTACAAATGGAACCACACAGAGAAAACAGAGCAGCAGGCTCAGGAGCAGGGTGTGTGCTGCATTTGGGGCTCCAGTCAATGCCTCCGGGCTAGTATGGCTCTGTGGGCTTCTTGGTTGCAAAGAGGCAGACCACAGGCCATCTTGAGGAGGACTTTATGTTCAAGTGCAGAAAGCAGCCAGGATTACCACCCAGGGGACTCTGCCTTCTGTGGCCCTGACCGGACTTAGAATTTGGCCTAACTCAGGACAAGCACACTCAGAGCAGCGTGTCAGTAGCTGGAGCCTGTGCATGAAAGGCATGGCCAAGCTGTCTCAAAGAGCAACAAGCCACCTCTGCAAGGGTGCTCCAGGAGCAGGTGGAGCAGCCACCAACATCACCCACTCAAGGAAGCAGGGATGGCCAGATTCCAACAACCTGAGTGGCTGCCTCCTGATGGCTGATGGAGCAGAGGCCTGAGGAAAAGCAGATGGCACTGGGACCCTACATCTAGGGTAGAAGAAGTGATGTACCCTGACCGGCAGTGAGTGAGGTTGGTGGCTGGTCCATCTGCTCCTGGCACACCCTTGCAGAGGTGGCTGGTTACTCTTCGAGCCAGCTTGGCCTTGCCTGGCATGCACAAGCCTCAGTGCGACAACTGTGCTACATATGGAGCCACATAGAGGAAACGAGCAGCAGGCTCAGGAGCAGGGTGTGCGCTGCCTTTGGGGCTCCAGTCCATGCCTCAGGGCTCGTGTGGCACTGTGGGCTTCTTCGTTGCCAAGATGCAGACCACAGGCCATCTTGAGGAGGACTTTATGTTCAAATGCAGAAAGCAGCCAGTATTACCACCCAGGGGCTCTGCCTTCTGTGGCCCTGGCCAGACTTAGAATTTGGCCCCAGGCAGGGCAAGCTCACTCGGAGCAGTGTATCAGTAGCTGGGTCCTGTGCATGCCAGGCAAGGCCAAGGTGGCTCGAAGAGCAACCAGCCACCTCTGCAAGGGTGCACCTGGAGCAGGTGGAGCAGCCACCAACCTCACCCACTCAAGGAAGTAGGGATGGCCAGGTTCCCACAGCCTGCATGTCTGCGTCCTGATGGCTGATGGAGCAGAGGCCTGAGGAAAAGCAGATGGCACTGGGGCTCTACCTCTTGGGTAGAAGAAGTGATGTACACCGACCGGCTGTGAGCGAGGTTGGTGGCTGGTCCTCCTGCTCCTGGCACACCCTTGCAGAGGTGGCTGGTTTCTCTTTGCGCCAGCTTGGCCTTGCCCAGCATGCACAAGCCTCAGTACAACAACTGTGCTACAAATGGGGCCACACAGAGAAAACAGAGCAGCAGGCTCAGGAGCAGGGTGTGTGCTGCATTTGGGGCTCCAGTCAATGCCTCCGGGCTAGTATGGCTCTGTGGGCTTCTTGGTTGCAAAGAGGCAGACCACAGGCCATCTTGAGGAGGACTTTATGTTCAAGTGCAGAAAGCAGCCAGGATTACCACCCAGGGGACTCTGCCTTCTGTGGCCCTGACCGGACTTAGAATTTTGCCTAATGCAGGACAAGCTCACTCAGAGCAGCGTATCGGTAACTGGAGCCTGTGCATGCCAGGCAAGGCCAAGCTGTCTCAAAGAGCAACCAGCCACCTCTGCAAGGGTGTGCCTGGAGCAGATGTAGCAGCCATCAAACTGACCCACACAAGGAAGCATGGATGGCCAGGTTCCAACAGTCTGAGTGGCTGCCACCTGGAGACTGATGGAGCAGAGGCCTGAGGAAAAGCAGATGGCACTGGGGCCCGACCTCTATGGGAGAAGAACTGATGTGCCCCAACCGGCAGCGAGTGAGTTTAGTGTCTGCTCCACCGGCTCCTGGCACACCCTTGCAGAGGTGGCTGGTTCCTCTTTGAGCCAGCTTGGCTTCGCTCGGCATGCACAAGCCTCAGTGCAACAACTGTGCTACAAATGGAGCCACAGAGAGGAAATGAGCAGCAGGATCAGGAGCACGGTGTGCACTGCCTTTGGGGCTCCAGTCCATGCCTCAGGGCTCATATGGCACTGCGGGCTTCTTCATTGCCAAGGGGCAGACCACAGGTCGTCTGGAGGAGGACTTTGTGTTCAAATGCAGAAAGCAGCCAGCATTACCACCCAGGGGACTCTGCCTTCTGTGGACCTGACCAGACTTAGAATTTGGGCCAAGGCAGGACAAGCTCACTCAGAGGAGCATGTCAGTAGCTGGGGCCTCTGCATGTCAGGCAAGGCCAAGCTGGCTCAAAGAGCAACCAGCCACCTTTGCAGGGGTGCACCGGGAGCAGGTAGAGCAGCCACCAACCTCTGCTACTCAAGGAAGCAAGGATAGGCAGGTTCCCACAGCCTGTGTGGCTGCCACCTGATGGCTGATGGAGCAGAGGCCTCAGAAAAAGCAGATGGCACTGGGGCCCTACCTCTAGGGTAGAAGAACTGATGTGCCATGTCTGGCAGGCAGTGAGTGAGGTTGGTGGCTGGTCTACCTGCTCCTGGCACACCCTTGCAGAAGTGGCTGGTTCCTCTTTGAGCCAGCTTGTCCTTGCCCAGCATGCACAAGCCTCAGTACAACAACTGTGCTACAAATGGAGCCACACAGAGGAAATGAGCAGCAGGCTCAGGAGCAGGGTGTTCACTGCCTTTGGGGCTCTAGTCCATGCCTCCGAGCTTATATGGCACTGCAGGCTTCTTGGTTGCCAAGAGGCAGACCACAGGCCATCTTGAGGAGGACTTTATGTTCAAGTGCAGAAAAAAGTCAGGATTACCACCCAGGGGACTTGCCCTTCTGTGGCCCTGGCCAGACTTAGAATTTGGCCCCAGGCAGGACAAGCTCACTCAGAGCAGCTTGTCAGTAGCTGGGGCCTGTGCATGCCAGGCAAAGCCAAGCTGGCTCAAAGAGCAAGCAGCCACCTCTGCAAGCATGCTCCTGGTGCAGTTGGACCAGCCTTTAATCTCACCCACTCAAAGAAGCATGGATGGCCAGGTTCCAACAGCCTGAATGGCTGCCACCTGATGGCTGATGGAGCAGAGTCCTGAGGAAAAGCAGATGGCACTGCTTTGTAATGCCCTTTGTCTCTTTTGATCTTTTCCATTTAAAGTCTGTTTTATCGGAGACTAGGATTGCAACCCCTGCTTTTTTTTTTTTTTTTTTTTTTTTTTTTGCTTTTCATTTGCTTGGTAAATATTCCTCCGTCCCTTTATTTTGAGCCTGTGTGTGTCTTTGCATGTGAGATGGGTCTCCTGAATACAGCACACCAATGGGTCTTGAGTCTTTTTCCAACTTGCCAGTCTGTGTCTTTTTACTGGGGCATTTAGCCCAGTTACATTTAAGGTTAATATTGTTACATGTGAAATTTATCCTGTCATGATGTTGTTAGCTGTTTATTTTTCCCATTAGTTAATGCAGTTTCTTTATAGTGTCGATGGTCGTTACAATTTGGTATGTTTTCCCAGTGGCTCATACTGTTTGTCCCTTTCCATGTTTAGTGCTTCCTTCAGGAGCTCTTGTAAGGCAAGAATGTGGATTTATTTCTTGTAAGGCAAATATGTGGATTTATATCTGGGTGCTGTATTCTATGGCCTCTACCCCAAGAGTCATTACTTTTAAAAATGCAATTCAAATTAGCATAAAACATTTACAGCCTAGGGAAAGGCTTATGGCATTAGAATCCTTATTTATAGGATTATTTTGTGTTTTTTTGAGATATGGTCTCTGTCTGTCATCCAGGCAGAAGTGGAGTGGCTTGGTCATAATTCACTGCAGCCATGAACTCTGAGTCCAAGCCATCCTTGTGCCTTAGTCTCCCAACTAGTTGGATCTACAAGCATAAGTCACCATGCCTGGTTAATTTTAAATAAAATTTTTTGTCGAGATTATGTTATCACTATGTTGCTCTGGCTGGTTTCAAATTCCTGGCCTCAAGTAATCTTTCTGCCACAGCCTCCTATAGTGCTGGGATTACAGGCATGAGCCACCATGCCTAGCATAGAGTATTACATTATTTTCAAAGTCTTATTCTAAGAGCCATTTATTGACTTTGGCCTAAATAACTCAATATTATATCTCTGAAACTTTTTTTGACAAATTTTGGGGCACGATGATGAGAGAAAGGGGTTTGAAACTTTCTAATAAGAGTTAACATAGAGCCATTTAAGGAGGAAAAAACACAAATTATCAGAAAAGTAAAAGAAAGATCAAGTGCAAAAGTTCTGTGGCAAAGATGATAGTAAAGAATATATGTGACTTATGGTGGCTTTTACTTTGTTCTTGAATTTCTGAGTAATTTAAGGGTTAACATTTAAAGAATCTACATTATAGATAACATTTTATTGCAAGTAAATGTATTTCAAAATTTGTTACTGGTTTTGTATGAGATTATTCTCAGCCTACTTCATTTTCAAGTTATATTATTTTATTAATGTAGTTTGGTGATCTTACAGCAGAGCTGGAAGCTGTATCTTCAAAATATGTCTGTTTGACTCAAAACAATCAAGGTATTCAACAGGAGTTATTATGTATGAAAAAATACAACAGGAATGTAAAAATCTTGAGGAGGCTAAAAAGATGTTGGAAAAAGTAATATTAAATCTTAAAAGACGTATGGAAAGTACACATTGGTGAAGACACATTGGTGAAGTACAAAAATATAAATTGGATCTAGAAGAAAGGGCAATGCAGGCAATGGAAAAATTAGTACAAATCCCTTTACAGGTTAGTTTGTAAAATCAGGTAAGTTTATTTATAATGTGCTTTCACTTATTTCACTGCAATGGCTCTCTTATAGTAATTTGCCTTGTAGAGTTCTAGCAAAGAGGTGGCATCTGTTTTTACTTTTATATGTTTAAATTTCTATCATTATAACAAAATCGATTTTTCACAGTAATGATTCTCAGTGTGGAGTCATTTGATTATTAAGACCCATTGACATGAGATTACATCCTCTGCCTATAAAAATCCTGGAAGAAAACCTAGGAAATATTCACCTGGACATTGCACTTGGCAATGAATTTATGGGTAAGTCCTCAAAAGCAATTGCCAGAAAAATAAAAATTGACAAGTATGATTTAATTAAACTAAAGAGCTTCTTCTGCACAGCATGAGAAACTCTCAAGGGATTGAACAGACAGCCTACCGAGTGGAAGAAAATATTCACACACTATGCATACAGCAAAGGCCTATTATCCAGAAGCCATAAGAGACTTAGGCAAATCAACGAGCAAAAAATAAATAACCCCATTAAAAAATGGGCAAAGAACGTGAACAGTTTTCAGAAGAACACATATGTGGCCAACAAACATATTAACACATGCATACCATCACTAATCATCAGAGAAATGCAAAACAAAACATCAGTGAAATACCATCTCACACCAGTTAGAATGACTTCTGTTAAAAAGGAAAAGTAATAAAAATATTTAAATATTTAATATTAAAATGTCATTTAGATTGAGATAAATTAACTTGTCATTATCATTAATTCTCAAAACATGGATATTTAAGAATAACCTTACTTCACATGTAATAACACAACAACTACCTTAAAAACTAAAAGCTGGGGCCTGGCACGGTGTCTCAAGTCTGTAATCCCAGCACTTTGGGAAGCTGAGGTGGGCCGATCATGAGGCCAGGAGTTTGAGACAAGCCTGGCCAACATGGTGAAACCCCGTCTCTACTAAAAATACAAAAATTAGCTGGGCATGGTGGTGGGCACCTGTAATCCCAGCTACTCAGGAGGCTGAGGCAGGAGAATCATTGGAACCTGGGAGGCGGAGGTGGTTGCAGTGAGCTGAGATCACACCATTGCACTGCAGCCTGGGCAACAGGGCGAGACTCCATCTCAAAAAAAATAAATAAAATTAAATGAATACAAACAAATAAATAAAAGCTGGAAGTTCTATGAAAACATTAATGCACATACCATTTTTTAAAAATGTTCATGGTTTCTCTAGAGATTTCAATACCTATTCTAGCTTATTACAGTAACCTATAATTTGTACTATACCAACTATGGTATAAAAACCTTAAAATGTATATTTCTGTTTCCTCTCTCCTTTATACTATTTATGTCATGCATTATAGTCTCAAATATTATGAATTCCATAATATAAAGTTACTCTTTTTTTAAAAAATTAGACAATCAATTATCTTTAGAGCAATGTAAAATAATTGGGTTATATATCTTTATATCTTCTCTGGCATTATTTATTTCTTTGTGTAGTTTCAACTTTCACCTGCTTCCATATTCCTTTTGCCTCAAGAAATGATTTTGACATTTATTTTAGTGCATACCTGTTAGCAAGGGACTCTTCCAGTGTTAATCTGCAAATGTCATTTAATTGTTATTTTTGCTGTATTACAGTTAATGGATATAAGATTGGGGGTTGACTTTTCTTCAGTTATTTAAGAATTTTGTATCATTGGTTTCTGACTTGTAGAGTTACTGACAAGCAGTTCATTACAATGTTTGTTTCTGTTTATCTCTCTACACAGTGTTCTTATTTTTTCTGTGACTGAATTCAAGATTTATGCTAATCGTTGGTTTTCAGCAGTTTCACTAGTGTGATTATTCTAGCGTTCTTTAAATTTTGTATTAATCTTTCTTGTATATTTTGAGGTTATTTGGTCTCCTCAGTCATCTTTTTCAAATTTTTCTTCTCTCACATTCTGTTTTTACTCTCCTTCTGTAATTCCAATTAATTGTATTTTGGTTAATTTCATATTACCAGAAAATTCTTTGATTCACTGGAGTATTTTATTTGCTTGGTTCATTGGTTTATTTGGTTTTTCTCTTTCCTCCCTTTGTGCTACCATTCAAATGATTTGTATTGACCTAGTATAAAATTTACTGCTTCTTTCTTTAACTCTGATGACCAGTCTGCTAATCAGCTTGCTGATGTAATACTTCATCTCTGTTCTCATGCTTTCACTTATTTCTAGATTTTGCCTTTTACTGTTCCCATCTTTGCTGAAATTCCTCATTTTTCCATACATGTTGTCTTTTTTTAACTAGATCCTTTAACATTTTGATCATTATTATTTTAAATTACTTTCATTTAGTTCCAACATCTGAATTATCTCTGAATTTGATTCTGTTGACTTTTTATCCTTTGAAAATATTATAACTCATAACTCAAATTTCTAACTTGCTTTTATGTGTCTCCCAATTTCTAAAAAATGCAAATCATCTGATGTAGAAAAACAGTAGATCATGAGATAATTATTTATGTCGAGATTGTTTTATATTTCTGTTTCATTTTTGTTTGTGTCATGCGATTAGTGTGGGCAGGAACAAAGGTTGCTTTTTGCTGCGGTGTCTGAAACATTCAGTGAACAATGTAACTCAGATTTCTCCAGCAGTAGACTGCTATATGATGTGCCTTGTGTGGGGCCTTAGACTCTGGAGAGCATATGCCAATGATCCTGTTCCACAGTTAGCTTTCGGTAGTCCTTACAACCTATGTTATAGAGAGGGTCTCTCTCCACTTTCTTGTTCTTCTCTAACTGTAGAACATCATTTTGTGTGTGTGTGTGTGACTAGGCAAAAAATTCAGGTTGGGGACAGAGGGATGGTTTGTGTTGTTTTTGAGCCAGTTTCATCATTGGACACTCAGAGATGGGGTATTTTTAACGCTTCTTGACTCTTTTTCTAGTGGGAGTCAAACTGTCACTTACCTGTGTTGTTTTTTGCAGAAGAAATAATACCTTACCCTCCTCCCACCTCAGTAGTAGAAAACCCCTGATTTATATCATTGCAAGTTTTCAACCCCACAATAAGGGCAAACTCTTTTATTTCTCCTTCCATAGGAACAATGTACCTTTGTCTGTGGTCACTGGATGGAGACTTTCCAAACCTTTACCACAGTAGCACGACTCTGCATTAGTGCAAAATCCTGGGCCCCAAAACAATCCTTGTTCCTCTCCTGATGGAGGAGTATTTTTCTTGCATCCCTCTCCCAGAAGCAGTGATCCTTTGCCTGGTGTCAGGTGGGGTAGGGTAGGGTATGAGAGGTTTCTTAACCTTCTCTGGAAGCTGATGTGTTTTGCTTCTTCTTATCTCCCAGAAACAGTAGACTTTTGCATGGGTTCATGGACCCAGATGCTTTTTTGCCACAGCAAATTAAGGGTTTTGATTCTTAGGAGAGAAGCAAATGTTCACGTAGTCAATTTTTTTCTTATTTATTTTTTGCTTTGTTTTCTTATTTCAGTAATGATGAGTTCAATATGATCATTATTTTCCACTTACACTGCTTGCAACTCTAATATTTTGTTTTTGTTAGTCCCCCTTTGACAGTTCAGCACTAAATCAAATGCAGATAATCATCAGTTGTGTGAATAAAGTGTTTTTAATTGAGAACAAAATTATTGATATAGACACAAATTTGGATATTATCCTACTTAGCACAATATGTCGCTGGTTCAAAATGTAAAAACCTCTTTAGGCTGAGCAAATAATGGTTCTTGGAACTATTGTCCCATTTTGACAAATAAAACCCAATGCTTTTTATCTCATGGATAGATTATTAAAATAACTACATACCTGATCTTCATTTTATGTTCTCTCTCTTCAAGATATTCCTTCAAAACCACTTTGACTGATTAGTCTCTTTTGAATTATGTTAGACTCTGTATTTTCTCCACAAGCTCATCAGTGTAAATCCTGCCTTTACATTTTTTATAAAAATTCTCTTTTTTTTTCAAATCTTAGTTGAGCTGAAAGATTTCCACCAAATGTCTCCTATGCCACAAAGCCTTATTTTACTTATCTCCCCTGTCCTCCTTGCTCAAGCTCATTTAGGAATATTTTAATTAAAACATTCATGCAATACTGTTTTTTAAAAAATCTGAACATATAGTATTTTCAATCTGAATACAAAATAGTGCTCTAATTTGAAAACAAGTTTTAGATACAAATGTTTCTAGAAGGAGAATCAACAGTGTCATAAATATCATAATCCAATTTTCCTGTTTGTACTAAAACATTAGCAAATATTTATTGAGAAATTGCCATCTGCCTGAAAGTATAATGCTTTTGATGCACATTATATCATAAAAACTAGGTACTATTATTAGTAGTATCTTAAGAGTATGAATATCGAGTCTTAGAGATGTTAAGCAACGTGCCCAAATAGCATGGGGAAAGTTGGAATTC